>NC_000009.12:104281158-104432673 GCF_000001405.40 Homo sapiens | reverse complement strand
ATTTGCCTGATGCCAAAGCTCTCTCTGCTAGTTCATTTTGCTTCTTAGATGAATGGAGGGCTCCTTTTTGTTCCTATGCAGTAATTTGGCAGATATGGAGGACTGCTCAGGTCTCCCTTGAAGAAAGAATTTGCTGTCAGCTGTGAGAAGTGCAAAACTCCAAGTTCAGCACCTACATAATCTGCTGCTGCAATGTTCAAGCCAAGGCCACACTCTTTGTGGAAGTTCCTAGTCGAAGTTTGAGCACAGTGAGAATAGTAGGGTTTGCAATTTCTTCCTAGCATTTGACTCTTCTAATGGGCAATCTTTGCTGCAGGGTTGCCTATTTGGTTGGCCAAGACTTTTCCAGTTCTCCAACCCTGATTCTTTCTCCTTTATCTTTCACAGGCACTGAAAAGTAAAAGATAAGGGTGGATAATAAATACAAATAAAACAATGTCTGGTTGTTATTACATTGTACTGCTCTACAACAGGAAAATTTTTAAAAGCTGAGGACATTTAACAAACAATTAACAAACAGTGTCAAAGTGATAAGCATCTTCTGTCATGGTAGGGTTAGTGTTTCATTCTCATAGATACAGGAACATATTCTGGATACAGATTTACCTTTCCTGCCTGCAGAATTTTGCCTAGCACCACTAGTTCAAGAGTGCCTGAACCATGAACCTTAGTTATAGAATATCAACAATATAACATCCAATCAGGAGGCCCTCTTCATGGTAAAGAACACGCTGGAGTGAGTCAATGACCATGGGATCCACTGGTCATATGATATACTTGCACTACCCAGAACCATCTGGTCTGAAGGAGCAGTGCAATGGCATGATGAAGAAACAACATACATACTGCTAATCCAGAGGCAGTACTCTTTGAGGATGTGGTGCTGACTTTCAGGAAGCATTATGCACACTGAATCAGAGACCTTCTTAATAGGGAGAATACATCAGTCCAGAAACCATATGGTAGAAGCAGGAGTGACCCCTCTTACTATAATTGTCAGTGGCCCACTTGTAGAGTTGAGCTTCTTGACCCCACAACTCTGAGCTCTGTAAGGTTATCGGTCCTGGCCTCCAAAGAGAGCACCCTGTAGCAAAGGGATACTTCAAGGGTTCCGTGGAAATATGAGATATGGTTCCTGGTTGGGCACTGTGGATTCCTCATATCCAGAGACTAGCAAGCAAGACAAAGAGTCACGATTTTGACAGTACTTCACTCTGATCCTCAGGTAGATATAGGGTTGTTGTTACATAATGTGATCAAGAGAGATATATGTGCAAGTCAGGTGATCCACTTGGGCACCTTGTGTATCCCCTTGCCTAATAGCAACTCTGAGTGTACAAATACTACAACACCAACCTAAGAAGGATATGGTTATCAGGGGCTCAGAGACCTCTTCAATAAGAGTTTGGGCTGTACCACATAGTAAACTACCAAGACCAGCTGGGGTAATAGCTGAAGGGTAGGGAGATTTAGAATGCATAGAGGAGAAAGACTATGAGACCAATTGTAATCCAGAGACCACCTGCAGTGACAAGGGCTATACTCATCCCAATAGGCTTCCTCTTCTAAGCTTTTCCTCAGGAAGAGATGTACACTAGAACTCAGCAAGGCCAGCTCCCAAGAAACATTTGACTAAGCTCCAGAGAGGTATTAAGTTTTGGTCTTTTTTGTCCAATGTGTAGCATTGAACAGATACTGCATAATCTTTTTTCTCCAAGTTCCCTACTGGGTCAACTGAGACTTTATTAGATCTGCCTGTTGAGCTGAAATATCCCCTGCCCAATTCTCCATCCTCACCTCATTATTTTTATAGGTTTCAGATCGGTATACCGATGAAAGTTTTCTTCTGTTTGTCCTAATGAAGTCTGTCTGATCTTAACAGGGATAGGGCAAGAAAGCTTGCTTTAACTTCTTTGTTATTTGACACAAGATTTGCCAGCCCATCGTTAGCAATAATATCACTCCACATGAATCTATTATTAGATTTTTATTTTTATCATCTTAATCCAGTAAAAACAGGATCCAACTAAACAAAAACAACTTACCAAGCCCAAAAATTTAGCTGCAACCTAGAGTAATGGAACTGTGGTCTAAATACTGTAACATTTATTGTGTTGATATAACCATATGTAAATAAATAAGAAATAAACTGAAAAATCCTAAAGATGCTTCAAGAAGATGGTAACTAACTCTCATTGTTGACATCTGGCTATGTTTGGCCATGAGGATAAAAAGGACAGTCAGTTAAAGTAAGAGCAAACCTGTATTACTTTTCTAACATTGTATTTATTTTCAGTGTTTTTTTCCCAAAGAGATTTGGGAAATCCAAATCCCTCCCAAATCTCATGTTCTTCTCACATATCAAAACCAATTATTGCCTCCCCAATAGTCCCCCAAAGTCTTAACTCATTTTAGCATTAACTCAAAAGTCTGAAGTCCAAAGTCTCATCTGAGGGGAGGGGCTGGCATGAAGGTCTCTGAAATGCTCTGGAGGCATTTTCCCCATTGTCTTGAGTATGACCACTTGGCTCTTCTTTACTTATCCAAATTTCTGCAGCCTTGAATTCCTCCCCAGAAAATGGGTTTTTCTTTTCTGCTGCATGGTCAAGCTGCAAATTTTCCAAACTTTTACGCTATGCTTAAAAGACAAGTCCCTTCTACCTATGAGCTTGTAAAATCAAAAACAAGTTAGTTACTTCAAGATACAATAGGGGTACAGGCATTGGGTAAATACTCCCATTCCGAAAGGGAAAAGTTGGCCCAAACAAAGGGGCTAAGGGAGCCATGCAAATCCAAAACCCAGCAGGGAAGTCATTAAATCTTAAAGCTCCAAAATGATTTCATTTGACTCCATCTCTCACATCCAGGCCACACTGATGCTAGGGGTGAGCTCCCACAGCCTTGCGTAGCTCTGCCTCTGCGGCTCTGCAGGATACAACCCCCATGGCTGCTTTCACAGGCTAGCATTGAGTGCCTGTGGTGTTTTTAGGCACACAGGGCACGCTGTCAGTGGATCTACCATTCTGAGGTCTGGAGGATGGTAGCACTCCTCTTACAGCTGCACTAGGCAGTGCCCCAGTGGGGACTCTGTATGGGGGCTCCAACCCCACATTTCCCTTCTGCACTGCACTAGTAGAGGTTCTCCATGGGGGCTCTTCCCCTGCAGCAGACTTCTGCCTGGACTATGAGGCATTTCCATAAATCCTCTGAAATCGTGGCACAGGTTCCCAAACCTCAGCTCTTGCCTTCTGCACATGCACAGATCCAACACCACATGGAAGCTGCCAAGGCGTGGGGCTCACACCCTCAGAAGCAACAGCCTGGGCTGGGCCTTGGCCCCTTTTAGCCATGGCTGGAGCTGGAGTGGCTGGGATGCAGTGCACCATGTCTTAAGGCTGCACCAAACAGAGGACCCTGGGCCTGGCCCATGAATGCATTTTTCCTTCCTAGGCCTGCAGGCCTGTGATGGGAGGGGCTGCCAGGAAGGTCTCTGAAATGCCCTGGAGGCATTTTCTCTACTCTCTTGGCTATTAACATTTGTCTCTTCTTTCATTATGCAAATGTCTGCAGCCTAGAATTCCTCCCCAGAAAATGGGGTTTTCTTTTCTACTGCATGGTCAAGCTGCAAATTTTCCAAACTTTTATGCTCTGCTTCCCTTTTAAATATAAGTTTTAGTTTCAGGTCATTTCTTTGTTTATGCAAATGACTGTAGGCTTTTAGAAGCAGCCAGGACACATCTTGAATGCTTTGCTGCTTAGAAATTTCTTCTGCCAGATTCACTAAATCATCTCTCTCAAGTTCAATGTTCCACAGATCTCTAGAGCAGGGGCACAATGCCTCCAGTCTCTTTGGTAAACATAGCAAGAGTGACCTTTACTCCAGTTCCCAATAAGTTCTTTATCTCCATCTGAGACCACCTCAGCCTGGACTTCATTGTCTATATCACTATCAGCATTTTGATCACAACCATTCTACAAATCTATGAATTTTCAAACTTTCCTATGTCTTCCTGTCTTCTTCTGAGCCCTCCAAACTGTTCCAACCTCTTCCCATTACCCAGTTCCAAAGCTGCTTCCACATTTTCATATTTCTTTATAGTAATACTTCACTTTTCTGGTACCAATTTTCTGTATTAGTTCATTTTCATACTGCTACAAAGAACTACCTGAGACTGGGTAATTTATGAAGAAAAGAGGTTTAATTGACTCACAGTATCATAGGCTTAACAGGAAGCATGGCTAGGAGGCCTCAGGAACTTTCAATCATGGTGGAAGGTAAAGGAGAAGCAGACACTTTACTGTGATGGAGCAGGAGAGATACAGAGTGTTGGGGGGGGGATTGCTATGCACTTCCTTTTTCTTTTTACTATTCTTTTTTTATTATACTTTAAGTTCTAGGGTACATGTGCACTACATGCAGGTTTGTTACATATGTATACATGCACCATGTTGGTGTGCTGCACCCATTAACTCGTCATTTACATTAGGTATATCTCATAATGCTATCCCTCCCCCCTCGCCCCACCCCACAACAGTCCCCGGTGTGTGATGTTCCCCTTCCTGTGTCCACGTGTTCTCATTGTTCAGTTCCCACCTATGAGTGAGAACATGCGGTGTTCGGTTTTTTGTCCTTGCGATAGTTTGCTGAGAATGATGGTTTCCAGCTTCATCCATGTCCTTATAAAGGACATGAAGTCATCCTTTTTGATGGCTGCATAGTATTCCATGGTGTATATGTGCCACATTTTCTTAATCCAGTCTATCATTGTTGGACATTTGGGTTGGTTCGAAGTCTTTGCTATTGTGAATAGTGCCGCAATAAAAATACGTGTGCATGTGTCTTTATAGCAGCATGATTTATAATCCTTTGGGTATATACCCAGTAATGGGATGGCTGGGTCAAATGGTATTTCTAGTTCTAGATCCGTGAGGAATTGCCACACTGACTTCCACAATGGTTGAACTAGTTTACAGTCCCACCAACAGTGTCAAAGTGTTCCTATTTCTCCACATCCTCTCCAGCACCTGTTGTTTCCTGACTTTTTAATGATCGCCATTCTAACTGGTGTGAGATGGTATCTCATTGTGGTTTTGATTTACATTTCTCTGATGACCAGTGATGATGAGCATTTTTTCATGTGTCTGTTGGCTGCAAAAATATCTTCATTTGAGAAGTGTCTGTTCATATCCTTCACCCACTTTGACATGGGATTGTTTGCTTTTTTCTTGTAAATTTGTTTGAGTTCTTTGACTTCATGTCTAAAACACCAAAAGCAATGGCAACAAAAGCCAAAATTGACAAATGGGATCTAATTAAATTAAAGAGCTTCTGCACAGCAAAAGAAACTACCATCAGAGTGAACAGGCAACCTACAGAATGGGAGAAAATTTTTGCAATCTACTCTTCTGACAAAGTGCTATGCACTTTCAAACAACCAGATCTCATGAGAACTCTATCAGGAGAGCAGCAAGGGAGAAGTATGTCCCCATGATTCAACCACCTCCCACCAGGCTCCTCTCCTGACACATGGGGATTACAATTTGACATGAGATTTGGGTGGGGACCCGGAGCAAAACCATGTCAACCATGAATACATAGAATTTTTATTTGTCAATTATATACTTCAGTTAAGCTGAAAAAAGAAAATCAAAGAGAAGTTACACTAGTTTCTTGTGGCTGCTTTAACAAATTAAAAACCAGCTTTGTGGCTTAAGAAACCCAACACTTATTCTTTCACAGTTCTAAAGGCCAGAAATTCAACATCAGTTTCACTGGGCAGAAATCGAGGTGTTGGCAGTACCATACTCCCTCAAGAGGCTTGAGGAGGATGTCTATTCCTTGCCTCTTCCAGGTTCTGGAGTTATATTTCTTGGCTCAGGTCCACCTCCTCCATCTGCAAACCCAGCAGTGTAGCATCTTGCAATACCTTTCTCTGATTCCATTGTCACATTACCGTCTTCCCTCTTTGGTCCCCTGTTGAGTCTCCCTCTGCTTCTCTTTTATAAGGATACATGTGATTGAATTTAGGGCCCAACCAGATAATCCAGGATAACCTCTCCTCTCAAGATCCTTAGATTAATCATGTATATTTTCATATACTCTCACACTGATAGGTTTTGTGGATTAAGAGGTGACTATATCCTTGGGAGGGAGGTCATTATAAAAGTCTGCCACAGAAATTAATACACAAAATCTGAGTATAAAAAGATACAGAAAATAGTGTGGTTCATATTCAAGAAAAATGCACTCAGTAGAAATTGAAACTGAGTTGGCTTGGATATGGGTATTATTAACAAGTGAACAGATAGAGAATATCAATGGAGCAATGTAAAATATTAAAAAAGTGAATAAAGGGGACATTATGTAAATCACCAAAATGAAAAAAAAAATTTACTAAATAGGCTCAACTGCAAATGTGAGAAAACTGGAAAAGAATAAGTGAAGTTAAATATAGATTAGTAAAAATTATTCCGTTCAGAAGAAAGACAGAAAATATTAAAGAAAATAAAACAGATTCAGAAACTAGTGCAACAATGTAAAATGACCCAGCATACATATAGTGATTCAGAAAAAGGGAGGACCAAAAGAAAAGGCAGAAAAATAGTTGAAGAATTAATGGCCACAAATTTTCTGAATCGTATAGAAAATATATTCAAAGTTAAGAAAATGAAAACTTAAATTGTAGTTTAAGTTTGGATGAAAATATTTGCAACATGTCATTTAACAAAAAATTGTATTCAGAATATATAAGGAGTCCAATAACCTAACAATATGTTGTCTTCTTCATCAATAAAAAAATGAGCAAATTATTTGGACAGATACTTTGTAAAAGAAGATATGAGAATGGAAAACAAGTTTATGAAAATGTGCTCAACATCACTAGTAGTCAGAGGAACACAAATGAGATAGCACTATTCACTCACTAGAATGACTAAAATAAAAAGACTGAAAATGCCAGTGTTGATAGGGCCACTTTTATAAACCAGCTGGCAGTGTTTTATCTTTTTCTATGAAGTTGAACATACTATTATCATATAAGACTCAGCAGTTGTAGTCCTATATTTCTATCTGAGAAAAATAAAAGTTTATATCCACACAAAGGCCTTTACCTAAATGTTCATAGCAACATTAAATAGCTCTACAATGGAACAACAAAAATGTCCATCAACTACTCAATGGATAAACACATTGCAGTATATCTACACAATAGGGCACTACTTAAAATAAAATAGAATAAATTACTGATACATGCAATAATATGAATGAATCTCAAATATATTATGTTAAGCAAAAGAAGCCAGATGCAAAGTCTGTATTCGTACACTCTGATTTAATTTTTGTGAAAGTCTAGAAAAGGTGACATGTGTTGACAGAAAGCAAATTATCAATTGCCTGGGGCCAATGATTGAGGGTATTGACTGTAAAAGGGCACGATAAAACTTTTTGTGGTGATGGAAGTGCTCTATATTTTTATTGTAATGGTGGTAACATGACTGTGGACATTTGCCAAAAGTCACCTTACTGTGTACTTAAAAGGGATGAATTTTATTTTAGTATAATTTGTACCTCAATAACACCGTTAAGAAACACAAGTGGATGTTGGCTACATTATTAAGTGTTTTGCCATATGTAAGGTTTTTGCTATATAATTTTATTTTGTATTCACAAGAAACCCTAGAGTACATACCAACTGTGAACAACCTGAAAAAGATGATTCCATTTACTATAGCCACAAATAAAATTAAATGCGTAGATATTAACTTTAACAAAGAAGTTAAAGATCTCTATAATGAAAACTATAAAATGCTGATGAAAGAAATTGGAAAGAATCCCCCAAAATGAAAAAATATTCCATGTTCATGGAATGGAAGAATCAATATTGTCTTGATCTATTGTATGCATGTGGCATTGATCATTGCATACTTCAGGAGCGGGAAAGGAAAACATTCAGAAAAAATATTATCCTCATAGAAAAACAAAATTACCTCAGAAATTAAAAAGATGTTAACCTAGAAAATTTCTAATAGTCTTATGTTTTACTAGGCTAATTCCATTCCATTCCATAATATTAGGACTCTTTATTCACCTTTTCTCCTCTTGCTATCATTAATTCAAAGATTACTGTTTGAATAATACAAACCAGTTCATATACGGAGGGAAAATAGCAAGGAGCACACAAAAAGACATAAAAGCAAAGACCCATATCTGCAACATCCACTATTCCTAATTCTTTTTTCTGAAAGTAAATATTTTAAAGTATTTTAGATGATACCTAGGGATTCTCTGTTGTTTAAAGCAATTTAGTGTACTTCCACTACTTCTCATCCCCTTTTTCAGTTATCTTCCCATTAAAAAAAATAAATTGTATATGTGTACGTGTGTGTATGTGTGTGTGTGTGGTTGTCCTATAGGTAATATAACTTCAAATTACATACATCCTTAAGTTTCAATTGACTGACTTTATGAGTGAATTATAAGATTCCTTAATATCTATTTAGAATAAATACATTTTAATTTTCACTTTTTAAAATCTCTGATGACTATTTTCTTTGTCATTTTTCTGTCAGGTGAACTCATAAATTGTCATGATTTATAACATTTTCATTTGCTTCTGAAATATAAAAACCTTTTTAGCCTATAAGTTTATTCTAAATGTTAATCAATATAGACAGAATAGCATTAAAAATGTATAGGAAAGCAAATGTAATTGTAAAATCCAAAGATCTTGTCAGCTGAAGAAGAATCAAGCATCCAAGTAAACAAATTCTATTTTCCCATGTTTTATCAACTATTCACAATTGGGCCACATTTGACTTTTTATTCTGGTACAGATTTTTGTCTTCTCAATAATTTCTACTTGTCTTTCCTTTTGCCATTGTTGAGAGGTGAGATTTGCCCATTTTTAAATTGGATTATTAGACTTTTTCCTGTAGAGTTGTTTAAGCTCCTCCTTTTATATTCTGGCTTAATCCCTTGTCAGAAGGGTAGTTTGTAAATATCTTCTCTCATTCTGTGGGCTCTCTCTTTACTTTGTTGATTGTTTCCTTAGTTGTGCAGAAGCGTTTTAACTCAACATGATCCCATTTGTCCATTTTTGCTTTAACTGCCTATTCTTGTGGGGTATCACTCAAGAAATTTTTGCCCAGACCAATGTATTGGAGAGTTTCTCCAGTGTCTTCTTGTAGTAGTTTCATAGTTTGAGGGCTTAGATTTAAGTCTTTAATTCATTTTGATTTATTTTTGTATATGGCAAGAGATAGGGTCTCATTTCACTCTTCTGCATATGGATATCTAGTTTCCCCAGCACCATTTACTAAAGAGACTATCTTTTCCCCAGTGTATGTTCTTGGCACCTTTGTCAAAAGTGAGTTCACTGTAAATGTATGGATTTGTTTCTGGGTTCTCTATTCTGTTCCGTTGTTCTGTGTCTGTTTTTATGCCAGTGCTGTGCTGTTTTGGTTACTATAGCTCTGTAGTATAATTTGAAGTCAGGTAGTGTCATTCCTCTAGTTTTGTTCTTCCTGCTTAGGACACCTTTAGCTATTCTGGAACTTTAGGGGTTTCATATAAGTTTTAGGATTCTTTTTTCTATTTCTGTGAAGAATGTCATTGATATTTTGATAGGGGTTGCATTTAGTCTGTTGACTGCTTTGAATAGTATGGACATTTCAACAATATTGATTCTTCCAATCCATGCACATGGAATATCTTTCTATTTTTTTTGGTGTCCTCTTCATTTTCTTTCATCAGTGTTTTATAGTCAAAATGGAAAAGGCGGAAATCATGGACACTCTAGGAGCTTCAGGCAATAAGTGTCCATAAATCTTTCAGGGCCAGAGATTGTCAGGCTTATTGATTCTCATTTACTGTATCCATTTCAAATTCTCGAAGAGAGCTATGGACTGGTTCAACGTTTGTTAGGTATCTGCCCCTCAGTTAAGGGTAAGGTGATAGAATATAAACAGAGCCAAAGATCATCTTTAAAAACATTCTACTAACAGAAAGCATTAACAAAATGTTTATGTTTGTATGGCAACTATGGTTCTCACTTCACTCAAACAAACATTTCAGGGTTCAATGTCATAGTGAGGCTCATTAGCCACTGGACCTGAAGGTCAAAGAATCCCTATAAGAAATTTTTCTGGTGGCTGTTGCTAAACAGGAAATTAAATAGCTCATATTGACTACAAAATATTCCTTTTTTTCTATGTACTTTTCATGGTTTCAGATGCAAAGCACACCTTGGCATCAAAAAGCAGAATAGTTTTAAGCTGTACTATTCATATACATTAATATTCCTTATAAACAAACAAGTAAACAAAACCCAACAGACTTGAAAGTGAAAAAAAAATTAGTGAACCAATGAAAAGAAACAGAATAAATAATTAACCATACAGAGGTTTTTCACAAATAAGTCAATTGACTCCCAACATCACCTTATAATAGCTTTCTGCTTTCAAGTTAATATATAGTCCTAAATTAGAGATTATGACATTCAGGCTTAAAATAATAAAAGTGTATAACTCAAAAAAGATGTCATCAGTAAATTGCCTCATTTTGTAGACAAGAAAACAGCATCAGAGAAGAGAAATGATTTTCTAAGATTAAAGAGTTTGCAAGACAAGAGCTGCAATCGAGACGTGAATCAAAATTCAGGGCTCTTTGGACTAGTTTCTAAAATGGTACTTCATCCAGTATTCTAAGAAGCTTCTATTCTGTTGGCTGTTGAAATCTTTTGGTCATAATAATTGGGGTTATTCTATTGGAAAAACATCCTGCTGTGTTCTATAACAGAATGATTTTTTCACAAACTGATTCTCTAGTTTATTTTTAGGATGAATATTTTCCCAGAAAGATAAAAATTGTCAGTGATATTATTTTGGTTATTTTTAGACTTGTATTTGAGGACATTTTATGAAGCTAAGCATTTTGACTAAGCTTATTCCTCTTAGATATTATTAATAATTCATTTTAATTTTTTTCTGATGACTTTTGAATATCTAGTTTGAATTTGACTAAAGTACCTTTAATAATTTTATTAAATTTTAAGTTTAATGCTTATTTTAACAGCAAGTAGGAGCTATTTTTAAACCTGGACATATAAAACTAAATAATGCATGGTTTCTATTTTTCAGGAATTCATAGGATAACTAGGAGGAGAGATGAATTTAAATAATTATAATGCAATGTAATAAGTGGCACAGTTTGGAGAAGAATTAGAGTGTTACAAAAACATATAGTACTAGTTACAGGGAATAACTGTAACAGGGAATATATATATATATATATATATATATATACACACACACACACACACACACACACACATATATATATGAAAGATTATGATCTTTTACTCAAGGATATCACAATTTGAAGGTTTCAATATTGTTCTTTATCCAACGGGACAAATGCCCTATTGTGACTACAATTTGCATGGTCATTTTTAACAAAAATAGATGGTAAAAAAAATGAGACTTTGCTAGATTATTTGGAATAAAAACAATCAAACATGTATTTTTTTCCTCTATTTCTAATATGGAAATACGATGTCAACAACACAACAGAAAGTTACAAATTTTATAAAAGCGGCGTAGACAATGAATTGGAAATTTAGAGATGGGAAGGAAAGTTATTTCTAAATAGGAAGAGTAAATTCCACAGATAACCTGGTAATATATCTTGGTGAGTATGATTAAAATGTAAGAAACTTATCAAGAGTTGTTAAGGAAATTGCTAAAATATGAATAGCATCAACATGCTTAGTATTTATACTAAATACTTAGTAAATAAGTATTTAGCACTTATTGGGACGATCAGCTATTTCTATCTGGTTGGAGTGTTTTCAAAAAGTGGTACAAAATATTTTTTAAAAAGAAATGTGAACCCAATCTGATAACTCACTAAAGGGCAAGGTACTAATTTAGCAATTTATTCAATAACCAATTTGGAGTAATCAAACGTGTCTGAATTAGAAAGTTATAGGATTGGCACTGTATTTCAGGAAAATTAATCCACTAGCTTCAAATAGTCAAGTGAGATACACTGGAAAGCACGGAGATCAATTAGAATACAGCTTCAACAATCTAGGTACTACTTATAAAGACCTAGACTAGGACAGCTACAGGAGAGATTGCTAGGAAAGGTTTTGTAAAATACAGCATTATTTTCACATAAAAGGTATGCACTCTGTATATTATTAACATATTAGAAGTTATTTTTCCTAAATCCCACGATAAATATTTTGGAAAAATAAAACATGTTCTTAATGAAAGTTACCCAAAATTTCATAAGTTTTAGAAAAACAAAAATAGAACCCATATTAATGAATTAATGTGATGGATTTAATTTTGCCTTATAGGTTAGGGTGTTTAGGGAATGAGATATGGAAAGACAAATTTAAAAAAAAAAAACTACGTTAAGGTGTGAAGAGAAGTTATCCAAGGAAGAATTTTTTGTCAGAGAGGGGTATCGTCCAAATTAAGGAGAAATGCTAGGGAGCTAAGGATATGGTAAGACAAAGATTTCTGGGGAAGGAGAATACTTTCCCTCTCTTTCTAGCTAACTGACCCCATAGTCTTAAACTTTTGAGTCTCAATTTTCTTTTTTTAAAAATGAGTATAATATTATCTACTTGCTTTAGGTAATGATTAAGTGAGAAAACGAATGTCTTAGAAAATAGTGCTTAGTATTTATCATGCACTCAACAAATATTAGTTGGATGTTCGATGGTTGGGAAGTGGAGATGGAGGAAAATGCCATCTAAATGGCAGAAAACAAAGGGTTGGAGTGAATGGTATAAGTTAACATAAGTGAAAGGGAAAGTAATGTGTACCAGCAACAGAACACAGCCAGATTTCTGGCACATAGGCAAAATTTATAAAATATTTTTCTAAATAGAGTTTAAAATATGGGTTTTGTAGCTGACTACACGTGTATTGCTGGGGATACAATATTTGGGACCTAAAGACCCCAGTAAAATTTAACAGAAGAATTAATGTCACCATGAATGTTGAAATTGGCAATTGAATCAATTTGTATTTATATCTATATTACGGAGCCATAACTCAGTCCCATTGGATGCTCCAGTTAATGATATGTTTTTGTCTTCGTGAGTTTCCCCATTGATATGGCCTAGCTGTGTCCCCACCCAAATCTCATCTTGAATCGTTGTTCCCATAATCCCCACGTGTACTGAGAGGGACCCAGTAGGAGGTAATTTAATTATGGGGGCAGTTACCCTCATGCTGTTCTCATGATAGTGGGTGAGTTCTCACGAGATCTGATGATTTTATAAGGGACTTTTCCCCCTTTTGTTCGGCACTTCTCTCTCCTGCCACAATGTGAAGAAGGATGCGTTTGCTCCCCCTTCCACTATGATTGTTAATATCCTGAGACCTCCCCAGCCATTTGGAACTGTGAGTCAATTAAACCTCTTTCCTTTATAAATCACCCAGTCTTGGATATGTCTTTATTAGCAGCATGAGAACAGACTAATACACCCATAAAGCATGTTTTTGAATTTAAATTAAATGAGAAAGCCAGTTTCCCATGGCTCCCTGGGATTTTGCCAAGAGGCGAATTCCTCTAAAACCCCAAGTACCTTTGCTGCATTGCTTTAATGATGTTCTTTTATTAAAATGTCCATGAAAATTAAAATTAAGACAATGCATATTTATATGTATACAAACAGTTTAAAAAGATAAAAATTTTTAAGTCCAGTACAAGGTGTAGTTGCCTGTCTCTTTTTACCCTACCACAATTTGCTGAGCAATTTGAAGAAAATTTGTGATCTGCAGAGCACCCTGCAGAGACTTAACATCATCCTGCTGTTTCCTCAAGAGTAAACAATAAACTCTGCTTGGGTTTCCCACACAATTATAAGACAATTAAGCTTAGCTCTTTAAGAATAAGTTCAAGACTAGAACTGACCTCTTCTTGGCTAAGTAGTGTTCTGAGGGCAAAACAATTACAGATCATCTTAAACACACACAAATGCACAGGGTAATCTCTGTCATTTGTAACTGCATCTGTAGAAAATGCTGCCATCCTTTTCATGGTTTTAAATGTGCTTTGCAAACCAAAAGGCTTTCTAATTACAAATTAGCAAAAATGGAAATTTATGTCTTGAGAAAATACGACACACGTGCAACCTCTCACTGGGTATAATCAGAACATTAGAAGTTGGCAGCAAATTTTCCAAATTGACCTCCCCTGAAGAACACACAGAAATCTGTAGTTTATGAATAAAAGTTTTCTAGAATACCATCAAATCATTCCATTTCTACAGTCACTTCTGCTTCTTTGACTCTGTGTTTTAGTGAAAAGGAAGTACTCACTCCCTACTTAGGCCTTGCCTCATATGCCCTTTCTCAGAGGAGTAAAAATAAGATGCCCCAGACAGAGGCACATGTATGATATCTCAGAGTGGCTATCCTGAATCCCTTCTTCCCTGCTACCCTGGTGAGTTGGCTGGGAATTTGTAGAAAAATAAAACCTGAGGTTTTATCTCATAACCTATTTTCACATCTGTAAATTGAGGCTATGATCACTTATCTCATAGAACAGTATAAGAATTAAAGCATCTATGTAAAAGTGTTCATTGAATTTTGAAGACAAAGTAAGTACTCAAAGTGTGTTGAACAAATCAGGTCTGTTTGTCATCAAAAAGCCTTAATATCTGTGGAAGTTAGAGTTACAATAAGAAAATTTTCTTTATGAAGTTCAGGCAAAGAAGAGGAAACTATTTTGTAGAATATCTTTAATGGCCAGAGACTTGGACTTGCTTTACAGAAATTTTATAATCTAATAATATGACTAATTTAATTTTTTTTGGTATTAATGCGATTAAAGAGAAAATCTGTCTACTATCTCCTCTTATCCTGTCTGGAACAAGATTGAAATAAGCAGACTAGATTTATTGGGGTCTTACCAAAATAAATGATCTTAAAGCCCTATTAAGATAACAATGAGACTTTATCCTTGATGATTTTAGTTATCTCCTAGGTAGAGAAAGAAAAGTTGCTGACTTTTTCTGTGCAACAGTCACTTCAGTTATGACAAAATAAGGATGAATCATCTTGCAGAGGTCAAATTTGTTAGATTTATCTTCTTCATCATAGTGATTTTGACTAGACTGGAAATGGGGCATAGTGATATGATCTAATGTGGCAATGGTTAAGAAAATGTGTGTGTACACACTGTATTGAGTAACTGTCACCGAGGTACCATGAACCCATAGGCCATGAGACTTGAAGTTTCATAGCTCCTGTTTCAAAGCCCAATCACTGACTATTCTGTGGGTTTTAGGTGGAAAAGCCATCATTGGTGATCTTATTAAAGTTCTAGGAGGCATCTCCAAATAGCAGGACTCTGACTTGGAGACAAGCATGATGAAGAGGGGTAAATCCAGGGACAGTGATCCCTTCATCTGAATGTCATAGGGTTTTCTGAGAGATACATGAAAGATTTCAAAATTTGGAGAGTTTAGGGAGAGAATGGAACCTCAGAGAAAGGAAGCCAGATTAGGAAATAGACCACATTGTTCAATCAATTTTACTAGGAAGTTATGTACTGGTGGCTCTCAAACAGTTGCTTTGCCATTTGGCTTACATCTTGGTGTGTACAATTTATCATGAAGAATGTTGAAGAAGAAAGCAGTTAGCAGCTTGATTTGAACATCAAATTCTACACTCTTCCTCCAACATCATTAAGTTAGCCTGCACTAATATAGAATCATAATAATTTTGACATAGAAAAGGCAACTTTGGATTTCTTAGTCTTTGATTTCTATTCCCTGTTAAATATCAAGCACTGGGTTAAGTGCTAAAATGTTAATAATTATAATAATACTCTCTTCTCCTAACATATGTGTAGCCTGGTGCAGGAGAAGGAAAAGTAAACTGAAAATGTTAATGCAGTGTTCAAAGAGCTGTAGGGAAGCAAAAGAAGAACCTATTAAATATGCCTGGGGATAAGAAAGTCTTTCAAGAGTAAATGAGATCTGTATTATGTCTTGAATGAGTAGGCAGGAATGCTAACAAGGAACTCCAGTGAAAGGAAATAGTAAATTCACAGGCATTACATTACAGCAACTATTCTGTAGAACTTTCAATTCAGTGTAACTGAAATGCAAAGAGGATATGGGGCTACTGGAGAGAAAAAGACTAGAGATGTAAGTGGAGGTTACTTACTCAGACTATATATATGATTGGGATAGGAAATATGGATCCTTTGAAAAGTGTTAAGCAATAAGCCAGGTTAGGGAGTGATCTGATTTGTTTGAGGAAGATTGCTATTCCTAAAATAAAGCCAATATGGCTTCAATATATTCACTTTCTAAAAAAATTATTTCATTTTTCTACCATTTTATTTTCAACTTATATTTATATTCAATTTCCTAACATTTTATTTAAAGTTTTATATATACGTTCATGAATAAAATGAGTTATAATATTTTCTCCACATGATGACCTTATCAGATATTTAATATTCTGCGGTTACTGGCTTCCTAAAACAAATTAAGAAGAGTCCCCTCTTTTTAAATGTTTGTCCAAGATTGGAGTTATTTTTTCTGTAGATCTTTGGAAAAATTTACTGCTGAAGCAAACTGGACCTAGGGGTTTCTTTATAAAAGTATTTCAAATTACAGATTTAGTTTTTAAAATAGTTACTTTTGTGAAGACTGAAAATCTGAGACAGGTCTCAGTTAATTTAGAAAGTTTATTTTGATAATGTTAAGGATGCATGCTTGTGACACAGAATCAAGAGGTCCGAAAACATGTGCCCAAGGTGGTAGGAGCACAGTTTGGTTTTATACATTTTAGGGAGACATGAGACATCAATCAATATGTGTACATTGGTTCAGTGTAGAAAGGTGGGACAACTTGAGGTGAAGACGGGACAACTCAAAGCAGGGAAGGGCTTTCAGGTCATAGGTAGATAAGAGACAAATAGTTACATTCTTTTGAGTTTCTGATTAGCCTCTCCAAATGAGGCAATCAGATATGCATTTATGTCAGTGAGCAGAAGGGTGACTTTGAATAGAATGGGGGGCAAGTTCCCAGCTTGACTTTTCCCCTTAGCTTAGTGATTTTGGGGCCCCAAGATTTATTTTCCTTTCACATTTCCCCCCTTTTCTTTTTTAAAATCTCTTGGAGAAAGCATTTTAGGAAAAAATGAGTCTCTGGTCTCAGGTTTTGTCTTACCTGTCATGAATAGGATGGTTTATTCCTAGATGGGTAGGTCCCGAGTTATTAGGAAAGTTCATTTTTAGCAGGTTGTGAAGTCTCACATCCTGTGAAGAGAAAATAGGGAGAGGAAGGGAGAAAAACAACAACAAACAAAAGAACAATCCTGAAATATTGGTGTAGGCCACATTACTCTGAAGTCCATACATCAGTAGGCAGGTATGAGACTGGCTTATGTATGTAAATAGGTTGCTGTTACTTTCTTCTGAAGTTTAAGTTGTCTGGCTTCAGTTCACAGGGCTTTATGAAAACACAGCTTAGTTTTCAGTGACTCCAGATAGGAAAAATGGCAGGGGGAAGGAAAAAAATTGAAAACATTATTTTGAAGACTTGTAGCCAAGAAAAATTAGAATTCAGTCCCACCTTTAGAAAATAATAAAAATTAGAATTCAGTCCCACCTCTAGAAAATAATAAAAATTGAAAAACATTAGGTAAGACTAGAATCTAAATTTAGTTTTCGAAACAAAATTTTTCTTTCTCGAGTTTCCCATTTTTATTAAAGACAGAACATGGTAAGACTGATTTGCTTTGTTATACTTGGCCTGCTTATTTGTATATAGTATAGCAAGAATAATATTTTTTACACAAGCTTTTAAGTTGGCTTTGATGGAACTTTGTTCCATAAAAGGAATCTCAGATAAGACTTTTATAAAGCCAAGCCCAGCCATGGATTTGTACCATCGAATACCTATGAGTTGGGTGAATTCCTCTCCTTTTGAGGTTCTGAGATAAACTTGGGGCTCCTGGGCCTCCCAGAAAGTGACATTTGTTACTTACCGTAAGTCAGGAACCCTGGACAGGAACTGTGTAGACAAGCAATGAGGCCAGTTTTCCCAAGGGGATTTAATTGGCTCCATAAGTCATGTTTGATCCTTAAAGGAAAGTGCACCATTCCAGTCAAAGCCTTGGTAAAATAACCAGTTTCTCCAATTGTGTCCTGTTTTAAATGAAAACAGATTCTTATTGTACTTATGCAAATAACGATATTGCCGTAAGTTAAGAATACTCACAAATAGTTTCCAAATTCTGGAGAAATCAATATGTTCTAAATTTTGTTCATAGAAATATACTAAATTGTTAAAACCTCTCAATAGCTCAAAAGAAAAATTTCCTTGAGTCAAAAAACTAAACAAAGGATCAGCAATGTTTTAAGCAAAAGTCAAAAAGTTTACTTCAGTCTTCTATTAGTTCTGTCCATGTAGTTAATTCCTATTCTTCTGGATATTCATGAACATTTCAGTTCTCCATGATTCCTAAAAGTTTTTCTTCTATTCTGATGTCACAATCTCCAACGTTATTAGAAAGTTGTATTCAAGAGCACCTGTTAGAGTTTTAGAGCTGATTATAAAACCACCTTCTAAATAGGACCAAAATAAGAGAACAATTGCCCGAGGATGACAAAAAGTTTTAGGGCAGCCATAGTCAAGAACACAATTGACAAGGAAATTTGTTACCTCTGTGGTGCACAATAATTTAACATAACAATTATAGTTATTACTGATAATGTACACTAAGTCATATCAGAATTATAGGGATTTCCCATAATTTTGGAACACATACCAATATCATACTTATACAAATACAGCCCAAAGAAAAGCAAACACCATTCCATATTTGGCAGTGTTTCCTATATAGTTTTTATAACAAGTATGCCAAATTATGTCATTTTTGGATCTTAGGGAATCTAGTATCTTAAAGGATTAATGAGGTCAGAGAAAGACATACTTTATAATTTGATTTTGGAAAGTTTGTCAAATATCAGAGGTTTAAAACACTTGATATCACAGGTCATTGTAAAATAAGTCATTGATTTGACCAAAGTGATAATTAAAGGATTTCAAAAAAAGGTAAAAATCTTCATTCTTTGAGAGAGAAGACTTAATTTTCCAAACAATAAGTCCTAATAAAACAGCATGAAACCAATTAAATTTGTTTTTCAAAATTTTATAAACAATCTATAAAATTTTAATCTTGACTATAAGATGTAACTTCCATAAGCCTTTTATAACCTTTATAACCTTTATTAAAGGGTCAGTTAATGCTTAAGAAAATCTTGTTAATCTGACACACCAGCCCATATGCTGGTCTTGCATCAGTGTGCCTTTGACATTGATGATTAATTTATAGAGAAACTGAACTTATTTTATCACTCAAAGTTGGCCCTTACAATCTCACGTGCCCACCTCTTCCATGATAGTCCCTGGGCCATGAGGAATTGAATAACTTTAATTTCTTGTCCTGTGTCTCAGGAATGCAGTTTATTTTGATTGGCTTCTTCTACCCGACCTGAAGATGAAGTTTTAATTGCTGTCAGTGTTTAAGACTTAGCAGGACATGGTGTCCTTTTTAGAACCAGGAGTCAAGGCCCTGTGACTTAACGTCATAAGTACTTTAAAAGAACATACAGAAAGATGCAAGGATATAATAACCTTAATTTTAAAAAAAGGTTTTTACATCTCAGTTTTTTTCCTAAGCAAACCAAAATTTAATGATAATGGCATAGGAATTATTTCAATAAAATGAAAAATCTGTTAGGCAAAAGGAAAGACCTTCTGCACTGCACAGAATATTACGTTGGAAGAAAACATTTTCTTTGGACCTTTAAGAAAACATTGTTAGCCTCAGGCCACAACAAACAGAACTTGAGGGAAAAAAACTTAGCTGAAAATGAGTTGAAGGAGAGTGCTACTATTTTGTACCCTTTAAAAGGAGAGAGAAAACTGAAAAGTGTGAGATGCAATAAAAGTTGCACTTTTATTTAAAAAAATCAGTATCTCTTATAACTTATTAAGAGTAAATCAATCCCTTAAGAAAATTTCATTGTTCTAATCAATTATTTAGTGTATGTGTTTTTTACATTAAGCTTAGCTTTAGAAAGACCACTATAATTTTCCTTTAATTAATAGACAACTGGATTATATAAAAGATTTTTTTAATAAATCCTCTTATTGTGATTTAATAAATCATCTTATTGTGACTTACACAGACCATTCATGACATGCTTGAACTTTCTGGTTTGTCCTGAACATCCCTCTTAAGCAATCAGTCATTTTATTTTAGGACTAAATCTACCATACAAGATTCTTTCTCATATGAAATTATTTCCTTTAAGCTTGCTTACCAAAAAAGAAACTATTTTAATAACTTTCTTTACATCTCTCTTATTTCCTGGTTTTTTTTTTTACCTTGTTTTATATATAACCTTTACATAAGTTTTGAATTAGACAAAAACTATTCACCTTTTTAAAAAGGAAACACTGTTTTTTTTAGAAAGAATGTTTTCCTATGAATAAATTTTTTTGGTATTTTATTGGAAAATACCCATATAATGAAATATCTATTATTTAACTCAATATAACTTTATATTCTAAGTTATGATGAGTTTGTTTACATGTATTTATCCCATTACATTTACATAATTATTTTATTTTAATCATTTACCTAGATTATTTATGAAAACTCTGATAATCATTTAAATTTATGGAAACACTATTGCAAAACTATAACTGAAACAGTGAAAAATATCTAACCTGACTCCTTCTTGCTTCTAACCTCCAAGCTGTCCTTGTTCATTCCTGGGCATAGGCAGAACTAGCTTTGGAGGAACTTAGCTTATAGTTTAGCTGTGAAACAAAGATGATAACAATCTCTTGCCAAAACAAACCTTACTGCCCGTGGACTAGACTGCCTAAAGCCACAAGATTAGAAGTTATGTTAATCTTAATAAATTCAAGATGTAGCTATTATTAGTAAACCAATGTCTTATTTATTAAAGATTATGTAAGCAAAGATCATTCTGTTTTGGGCTGGGTTTATAGTTTGGTAACCTTATGCCAAATTTTAACACCGTATAGTATTTGGCTGGGATAGTGTGAAATTGCTTAATAAATGCAAAAAATTTTATGCTGGCAATTCTTAAGACATTTCTAATAAAGCCAGCTTATGTATTATTTTACTTAAGTTAAATAAACCTGAAAAAGCATTAGACTAGCCTTTTCTTTTTTCTGATAGTGTTTGATTCAAGTGCTTTTATTTTCATAAGCCAATTAAAATGGATTTAATTGCCAATTATACATAAAATTATAGAGATTATAAAGGCCTTTTAAATACACACACACACACACACACACACACAGATCCTAGAGCTTTTACTTCAGTACTTTAGTCATGAGATAAATACAAATTCACCAGCTTACAAAAGAACCTGTTGAATCCAGTGATTTTTATCTTAATATAAAAATAACAGATTCAAAGAAGGCAGAAAAGAAAACTAGAGAAGAAAGGAACTTAGAAATTCTGTACTTTGCACGTTGACCATAGGACTCTTTTTCCTTAATATAGCCATTTTTCATAAACTCTGGCAAGTAGAGGTACCATAAAACCTACAGAGTGCTTGAAAGTGGGTTATTCTCCTTGTTTTCTCCTCATTCTTGGATTATTTGTTTCCCACTTTTTTTCTCGGAGGAACTGAGCTGTGGCCTAGGGTTTTTGTGTGCTGGATCGATGTTTGCTGCTTGTGGGTAGGACTCCACAGTGTGTCACCACTGAATCATTTCCACCTTCTTACATGTCTCAGTTTCTCTCTCCAGAGGTCTACGACCCCTGAGAGGGCTCAAAATATTGGGTGATTCACCCTTATATGTGTTTCCTGGATGAGACTTTTTTTAAAATTAATTTTTGTGGGGATTTCCCTGTGGCTCCCTGTGTCCCCAACACTCCCACAAGGCCCCTGGTTACCCAGGAGTGACTTTCAGCTGGGAGGAGCAAATGCCCTTTCTCTTCAGAGCTGAGAAACCTCATTCTCTCATTTACCTATGAAAACAATAGTTCAGTTCCTCATGCAAATGTTCACAGGCAAGCTGAATCAAGATTAATTTTGGGAGAAAAATCAATAGAGAAGACCCGTTAGAATGCATCTCTGAACTAGAATTAGGATCCTTAAACAACCACTTCCTAGGAGAGAAAAAGACAACAGCCAAGACCATTTCCTGTAAACTATGCTCTGCCACCCCTAACTCCATAGCTCTCATCTGCCATTACACATGCCAGGTCAAATCCTCTCACCGTACAAGGTAATCTCTGGTACGCCAAAGCCGAAGAGGTCAGGTCATGCAATACTGGAAAACAGAGCTTTAGACCTAAGAAGAATCGTCCCATGACTCTTGAAACTTTACAAAGAAAACAGAACACCCCAAAATGGGTGAGTCACCCTTTGTTCTGAATTCTTTTAAGGGGTTCAAGTCATTAGAAGCCTTCTCTAGATTTTTTGGTACCGCATATGGCAAAGGGGGAAGGAGGTATAGGGTGGGAGAAAAGTAAATTAAAGAACTTTTTTTTTAAGGCAGGAAGCAAACCAGAAATGAAGCATGTGGTTTTTTTTTTCCTCTTTTGCAGTTGCGAGGAATTTTAGCCAAATTACAGAGGCTTTGTTCCCATAATTTGTAATTCTCACTAAGATTTGACCAAGCCAGGTAGAGTTGGTGAAATCTGATGGGAGAAAGACCAGAACAAACAACAACAAAAAACCCAATAATGTGATCACTGAGTGTTCTAATGGTAAGGAGAAATTAAGACCAGCTGGTTGTTAAACTTTAGCCAAGACAAAACCCCAATTCAGCTACTTATGCAGGGATGGATCTCAGCCTGAAGACTGCTTTCTACCATCCCAGAAGCAGGAAAAAAGAAACCTTCAAACTCATCTTCCTGCTGGGAGCAAGCTCAAACTCCATAAAGGGAGTTCCTGCCTTCCATTGTCATAGAAATGGGAAATCTTGCCTTCCTTGTTGGAAGCAAGCAAAACCCTGGAAAAAAAGGGTGGAGGAGCAGGGAGTTGTACAGCAAAATAAACTTTAGATCTCCACCAACTTTTGGGAGGTCAGGAATTCTCTGGAGGGGGTGCTCCAAGACCTCAGCAAATTATCCTATTGGTTTTAGCCATAAAGTAAGCTCATGCTGGTACCAAGCACCAAAAGGAGATTTGTCAATAGTCAGGGGCATCTCCACTCAGAATCTTTCTGTGGTTACCAACATGTGGACCACAAAAATCTGAGACAGGTCTCAGTTAATTTAGAAAGTTTATTTTGCCAATATTGAGGACACACACCCATGACACAGCCTAAGGAGGTCCTGATGACATGTGCCCAAGGTGGTAGGAGCACAACTTGGTTTTATACATTTTAGGGAGACACAAGACATCAATCAGCATGCATAAAATGTACATTGGTTCAGTGCAGAAAGGTGAAACAACTCAAGGTGAAGGCAGGACAACTCAAAGCAAGGAGGGCCTTCTAGGTCATAGGTAGATAAGAGACAAGTGGTTGCATTCTTTTGAGTTTCTGATTAGCCTCTCCAAATGAGGCAATCAGATATATGTTTATCTCAGTGAGCAGAGGGGTGACTTTGAATAGAATGGGAGGCAGGGTTGCCCTAAGCAGTTCCCAGCTTGACTTTTCCCTTTAGCTTAGTGATTTGGTGCCCTAAGATTTATTTTCCTTTCACACTTTAATAGACTTTTATATACCCTGGGACTGAATCTGGTTTTTGATTCCAGGATTTATTTGAAGCCATTTAAGAGTTTTAAGTGGCAAGGAAATGTAACATAATTTGACTTACATTTTTAAACTATCACCTTGGCAGATCTGTGGCAAATTCATTAGAGAAGACAAGTTGACAGGAAACCACCTATGAGGCCCCTGACAGTGGTCATATGGGAAATGATAGTGACTTGGTTCAACTGTTGTTGGCAGAGATGAAGTGAGATAGACACAAAAGGGCTTGGTTAAGAATTGGGTGAGAGTCTGTGGCAAGATGCTAAAGGGAAAGAAACAATTGAGAATGAAACCTGAATTTTGTCATAAGCAAGTGGGAGAACATAGTAGAAATGGCATTGCAAAATATGAAGAAAAAATAGATTATACAAAAAATGTGTTGGAAGATTTTATTAAAATTTTTGGAAACACAATTTAAATCATTTTCTCATATCATGTCATCAAAAAAGTTTCAGATAGATTACAGAATTGAGTAAAAAAAAACCTGACAATTAACTGACAACTAAATGTAATAGAATAAAATATAAATATTTATCTTATCTTTATTTGAGGAATGTATTTTTTTTTTTTTTTTTGAGATGGAGTCTTGCTCTGTCACCAGGCTGGAGTGCAGTGGCGCAATCTCAGCTCACTGTAACCTCCGCCTCCCGGGTTCAAGTGATTCTCCTGCCTCAGCCTCCCGAGTAGCTGGGACTACAGGAACATGCCACCACGTCCAGCTTATTTTTGTATTTTTAGTAGAGACGGGATTTCACCATGTTGGCCAGGATGGTCTCAATCTCTTGACCTCATGATCCGCCCACCTCGGCCTCCCAAAGTGCTAGAATTACAGGCGTGAGCCACTGTGCCTGGCTGAGGAATGTCTTTCTAATCTCAAAAAACATAAAGGAGCAAAGCACATGGGGAAAATAAAACAATTTACCTATAAATCTTTGAAAACGTCTCAACACCAATATAATTGGTTTAAAAGCACGATGACATGAGGGAACAATTGGTAATACAATTGTTGAAAAGAAATTGCTGTTCCATAGTTATCAAGGGTAAATTGGAAGGGTAAAGTTAAGCAGTTCAATAAAGCTACGGAGCAAGTAGGTAGGAGGAAGGATCTAACAGAAATCCTTCTACATAGCAAGCTCAAATGCACATTGTAGGGTTGAAGCAAAGTGGCCCGCACATGAGGAAGCATATTAAAATGTGTGCACAGTATTTTATCTAAGGGACAGTGGAATGAGGATCAAAGATGATCATATGACTGAAAAAGATGATCCTGGCTACAGAGAGGAGAGTGAATTGGTAGAGTCAATACTAGAGGCAAGGATGTGATTAGAATCTTACAGGAACTAGATTGTTTCTAGTCCTTGGTTTATATGTCCCACATAAAAATATGGGAAACAATCTCTTGGTGAAGTAAGGGATATTATTATAAATGACTTCTAGGAAGTTGTGCCATCACTGAGATTTTATTTACACTTTATGTATGTCTAGAAAGCATCTACAAAGCAGTTCTATTCTCTCTACACACAGACATCTGCAAAAAACTTCTGTTTTGATATAGTTTTCAAGTTATGTATGTCCCATGGTTTTTCCCCTGTTCCCATCCCCTCTACTTCTGGCCAAATGTCTGTCAAGCTAAAGTGCTTTAGATTTTATGCTTCATTTTGTGAATGTAAAGTGAAAATTGCTATTGTGCCTATATTTGATTTCAGTTTTTAAAAAATTTGGGCCAAATCTTTGATCCAATAAGCCTATTTTCTGGGACCCTATCATACTTAAATAATCCAAAAGCAGACAAATAATAATATCTGGGGCAAAAGAATTGTAAGTGATTAATTGAGTAACATAACATGGTCTGTATCACAATAAAATAATATGTAGCCATTAAAAATGACTATAAAAAAGACTAGCAACAAGAACATTCTTATGAATCATTTAAGCAGAGTATAAATGTATATCTCTACTATGGTTAAAATACTGTAAAAATGGTATATACTTGGGGCAAGGTCTGGAAAGGAGCAGTGAAAATTAAAACAGTTTGATTCACAGAGGTAATCAAACAGTGGTTTTCAAACTAGCATGTGCAAATGAATCATCTGAAGCGCTTTCTAAAAATTCACATTTCCAGGCCCATCCCAAGAGATTTGTATTCAGTTACTCTGAAGAAGGGCTTCAGAACTCATAGGTTAACAAAGCATTCCCAAACAATTTTGAGGCAGGTCATGAGTGGTCTGCTGTTGGAGGCACTGTGATAGGATCCTGGTGATTTAAAAGATGATAATCCCAGCACTTTGGAGGCCGAGGTGGGCAGATCACAAGGTCAGGAGATCGAGACCATCCTGGCTAACACAGTGAAATCCCATTTCTACTAAAAATACAAAAAATTAGCCAGGCGTGGTGGTGGTCAACCATAGTCCCAGCTACTCGGGAGGCTGAGGAAGGAGAATGGCATGAACCCGGGAGGTGGAGCTTGCAGTGAGCCGAGATCGCACCACTGTACTCTAGCCTGGGTGACAGAGCGAGACTCTGTCTCAAAAAAAAAACAAGAAAAAAAAAGATGATAACCACAGTTCACTAATATGATTAGATTGTTTGCCCCACAAGTATCAGGAATATGCTACACTTGATAGCACAGTACGTAGTCAACATGTGATAGACTTAATTTTACAGAGTTAATGTAAAATAATATGACATCTGCATATTTCTGACCTGCATTAATAATTTTTTAAATTGCCCATGTCTGTGGGCCTCTATTTTCCCCATCCACTCTTTGGAAGAGCCTGATTCCATTGGTTAACTTATTCCTATACAGTTCTCAGTATTGAGCAGTGCCAAGACAATGAATTTATGACAATTTATTAATTGATGAAGACTGTGCCATGACACTTCTCTAACTGGGGAAAAGAACTGAGCTAGGAATGTGTGTCCACCATTGGGAAGGGGCCCAGAGGAGTTTCCATGAACCACCAGAAGCAGATAAAGCTGGATTGAGAAACACAATTATGACCTATATATTGAATCCTTGTGAGAGGAAGAGGAAGATTGAGGAGAATGGGAAATCAGTTTAAAATAGAGTTTTATTACTCATAACTTAGCTTGGAAACTTTGGAGAAAAACAACCTGGACACTTCAGCATTCTTCTGTGGGTATGCTTTCTTCACAGCTAGAGCCAGGGCTACCTGCCATCCTCCTCTATCCCTCAATGCCTCTCTGTCTCCATCCATTCAAGGAACAAATAATATGGCAGGTGGCAGAAGAAGACTAATAGTTTATTGTGTTTGATGAATTTTTCAGTTATATGCAGAGATATATGTGCAAAGAGAGACCAGAATAGTTTTAATCCAATCTGTGACCAAACACACATCATACACTGCTGTATTCTTGCTAGAACTCTCCCTAGGATACTGAAATGCCTCTGTTGGGTCAACTCATTAATTAACTTCCAGCTTTGAAGGGACTTATCAGCAGGAAGCATGTAGCTGTGGCCTGCTGTGATTTAATTAATGATTGCTACCTAAATGGCTACTGTACTTAGAACTGTGGCACATAGAAAGTGTAAAATGAAGGTTATCTATTATCAACCCACTTGATAATCCAGATATACAGATATCAACACTGGCCCTAATACTAACCCCTCTGCATCTGCATTGGATACTTCGAGTGAACTTTAAATAACTTAACCACTATGCCTTCATGAGTGTTCCATACCTCCAGCTTCTTACTAGTTCTTATTTCATCATTCTCCCCATCTATTCTTGGGGGTTGAGTTCCAGCCAATCCTGTACCCAACCTCATCATATTTAAAACAATTAGATTAGACATTATATTTAGTTTCTACTATAGACACAGACAGGACAGGCACAGTAAGTTACCTTCCCAAAGTCTCCTATACAAACCTACTATGCATTAAGGAGAAGGGCAAGAAGCCAACCTTATGTTAGGTACTTGGCACACATAATAAAGTTTATTCTCACAGTGATTCCATGTGACAAGAGGAAACTCAAGTTTGAAGATAATAGAGGTTTAAGTGAAGTGAGAAAAGCAAGATTCCATTTCATATCTATCTAATTGTTATGCATTTTTCTTTCCTACTATATTGCAATGCCACTCAACCAGTCTGGTTTGTTGATTTTAGTTTAAAAGTTTTAAAAAAAAACACTTAGAGGAAAAGTTTATTGTTATCACGATCTCAGGTGAGCAAACCAGTGGGATGAAAGTTGTTTTGTTTGTGTGTGTTTTGTTTTTTGAGAACTGCTTATCTCAACCATTTGGCTATTGTATAAATTTAGATTTTGACCAAGCCCAAAAATAATAAAAGAGAGAAGAGAGATGAGGTTTTAAGTGAAGATATTATAAACAAATTCTCGACAGAAAATTAATGTGCAGGGCAGATGGGGAGCTGAGCAAAAATGATTAATTGCTCATTAAAATTTACCTTGGTATTAAGGTGTGTCAAGGGCAGATAGTTCTGAAAGGCTATTGAATGAGAAGACGAGTGTGAGAAAAATAAGAAATGGCTATGAGGTCATTCTTTTGTTCTATTCTGTGAACTTAATAGCCTGGGAACCATTGCATAATGACTGACATGATGATAGAGATCAAAAAGGAACAATACAGCAATGCAAATTAAGAGGCTGCTGTTGGTCTGACTTAAGAGAGAAATAATGAATAAGCAAGGTCAAGTCATGTGAGAATTTTTCTTTTATTTAAGAGCTTTAATAAGAATTTTAAATAGAAATTAAATTGCAGTTTATACTTTAAAGTTATCAGTACCTTTTCCAGTAAAATACTCATGAAGGCAGTTAAAGATAACACGTAAAAATTATTCTGAGAGCTAGGGATGTGTGTCCACCATTGGGGAAGGGGCCCAGAGGAGTTTCCATGAACCACCAGAAGCAGATAAAGCTGGATTGAGAAACACATTATGACCTGTGTATTGAATCCTTGTGAGAGGAAGAGGAAGATTGAGGAGAATGGGATATCAGTTTAAAATAGAGTTTTATTACTCATAACTTAGCCTGGAAACTTTGGAGAAAAACAACCTAGACAACTCAGCATTCTTCTGTGGGTACGCTTTCTTCACAGCTAGAGCCAGGGCTACCTGCCATCCTCCTCTATCCCTCAATGCCTCTCTGTCTCCATCCATTCAAGGAACAAATTCGAAAGGAACAAATAATATGGCAGGTGGCAGAAGAAGATAGGTTATTGTATTTGATGAATTTTTCAGTTATATGCAGAGACATATGTGCAAAGAGATACCACAATAGTTTTAAGGTAATAATCCTGAAGATAGTGGGAACTTCTGTGCTCTAATGCAAAAAAAAAAAAAACAAAGAGGCAGAGACACATTTTTATCTCAGATTTATCTGTTGATTCACTGGAATTGAGATAATTTTAATTTATATTAAAATCAACTTATTATTTTTTTTCAATTTAATGTGCTTTTGACTCTTACTGCTAATTCTTCACACTACCTGGTTGCTATAACTGAATTATGTCCTCTCCATGACAGTTTATATGTCAAAGCCCTAGCCCCTAATGTGGCTGTATTTGGAGATAGGGTGTATAAGGAGGTAATTAAGGTTAAATGAGGTTATAATGGCAGGGTTCTAATTTGATAGGGTTGGTGCCCTTAAAACAAAAATAAAAGACACCAGAGCTCTCTCTGTCTATCTACCATGTAAGGACTCAGAAAGAAGACAGCCAACTACAGGCCAGGAAGAGAGCCCTCACCAGGAACTGAGTCAGCCAGCACCTTGATCTTGGACTTCCCAGCCTCCAGAACTGTGCGAAAACAAATTTCTGTTGTTTAAGCCACCCAGTCTGTGGTATTATGTATGTCAGCCTTACATGATTGACACATTGTTATTAATAATCTTGACAAATATTTTCAGTATTTTATTTTTATTTTTAACTTATTTTACATATCCTTTCTCAATTCAATTTTCTTCCACTTCTCTGACATTTGATTCTTCTGCTGGCAGCCCATTTTTTAGGATTACATATTTATAATTGTGATAAAGTATTTGGTAGTACAAATATCACTTATTAGTCTGTCAAAAATGTTGACTTACCTATTCAATCTGCTTTTCTTCCCAGAATTATCTTAGCTATTTGCAAGTGTATCTATATACAATTTTGGATATTGAGAATATGACGAAACCAAAAATTATTAAGGAAGAATTGTCATCTTTGTGAAATTCATTCTTCACACACAGGGACTCTGTGAAATACTTTATAAATTTGATTAGAGTTTTGGCATTGCCTATAATAGAGTTTCCATACATTTCTTGCTTAGTTGTTTTAATTGTATATAAAACATTTTATTCCTTTGTATTTCCAAGGTAGTTATTGTTACTATTAAGGAAATGTATTAGCATTAAATTAGAAGATTATGTTAAGAATTCAGAATAGAAAAGAACATTAACAGACAATGATTTAATCAAATGACCTTGATGACTTGAAAATTAGGTAATTATATGATTCAAATTAGAGACAAGGACTCTGTGACCACCTGCTTCTATAAGTTATAGAATTCCTATTACTCATTTTAACTTAGATTCAGTATCTCTCACCATTGTCACAGATGAGAACCCAGCCATGTCCCAGCCAATATTCCCATTCATTAGAAAATTACAGAATCTGGGAAGGCAATCCCCAAAATTACTTGCAAAGTTTATTTCAAAGTTTGAATGACACAATAATTTCCTAAGTGAGATTGGGTCATTCAGGAATATAGAAGTAAGAATGTAAGTGCTTGAGAAAGTCACAACCATATTATTTTTTTGCTTAATAAATAAGCTTGTCTGTCAGGTAGCTGTAGACCATGAACTGACAGTAAATAATCTTCTAAGAATTCTTTCACAAAATACATGAAATAGCCTCACATCACACAGTTATACCCTAAGCATTACTTAGAAAGAAAGCTGAGACTTCAATGTAACTGTGAGGAAATGATATAAATCAATAGTTTCTGGCACCATACCTCCACTGGGATCTGCCTTACCCCTGCCTACCACAGAGCTTTAAGGCAAGTAAAGGTGGACCAAGAAAAATGTCCAACACTGAGATTCAGCTGGAGCTATCACTAGAAAGATTAAAACCTCCTAAATCTCAAAATATTAAAAATAATAACAAGGCAAATGAAACCAATTATGGACATGCTTAAAACAAAATCATAGAAAGTATCAACAAATAAATAGAAAATTTCAGCAAAGAAGTAAAAGATGTATCTCAAAATTGCTAAAAGAGTAGATTTATACATTCTCACTACAAAAAAGATGATGTAATGAATATGTTAATTAACTTGATTTAATCTTTGTATGATGTATGCATATACCAAAACATCACATTGCACCCCATAAATATATACAATTATTAGTTAGTTAAAAAAATAACTTGCAAAAGTATTCAAACATTAAAAAATAAAAGACATAAAGAAGACCCAATAAAATTTTTAAAACAGAAAAAATAGATTTACTGAAGTATAAAAACTCAGAGAATGGGCTCAATGATAATACAATATGAAAGGGAAAGAGAAAAGAATAAGAATAAGTGATCTGGGTGATATAACAATAGAAATTTCCCAGTGTGAACAATAGAGAGAAAATAGACTGAAAAAAAAAATGAACAGGGCCTTAGGAACCTGTGGAACTGTAACAAAAGACCTGACATTTGAGTCTAGGAAGGAGAAAAGAAAGAGGGCAGCCTGAAAAAGACTCAAAGGAATAATGGCTAAAAACTTCTGAAATTCAGCAAAAGATTTAAACCTACTGATTCAAGAAGCTGAGCAAACCTTGAACAGAATAAACCCAATGAAATGCACATTGAATTATCATAGTCAAACAACTGAAAACTAAAGAAAATATTGAAAGCAGTAAAACAGAAGAGATGCCAAGTGCTGAAAGAAAAGAATTTTCACCCACAATACCAAATTCAATGAAAACATTCTTCAGAAATGAAGAGGAATCAAGACATTCTCAGACGAAGGCCAGCTAAGAGAATTTGTCACCAACAGATATACACTAACGACTGGCTAAAGGAAATTCTTTGGACAGAAGAGATGGGATAAAAGAAAGAAACTTAGAACATCAGGAAGGGAAGAGAACAAAAATAAACAAAATGAACAAAAATGTGGGTAAACACATAGACTTCCTTTCTCCTTTACATGTTCTAAATTATATTTGACAGTGGAAGCAAACATTATAATACTGCCTGGTATGGTTTTAAATGTATGTGGAGGAAATACTGAAGACAATTATATTATAACCAGGGAGGGTAGAGGGATGTAAAAGGTGGTAGGGTTTTTATACTTCACTTGAACCAATAAAATGATAACACTGGTAGACTGTGATAAGTTATGTATATGTAATATAATACCTAGAACAATAACCAAAATAGCTATGCAAAGAGATACATTTTAAAAATTACAAATAAATCAAAATGAATTGTAAGAAATATTCAACTATCCCACAGAAAGGCAAGGCAGAAGAGAAACTTAAACAGAAAAAAATGGCAAACTTAAGGTACAACATATCAATAGTTACATAAAATGTAGGTGGTCTAAACACACCAATTAAAGGCAAGAGATTGGCAGTGAATTAAATAACTTTTCAATTATATGCTGTCTACAAGAAACTCACTTTAAATATAATGATACAGGCAAGTTAAAAGTGGAAGGATAGAAAAAGATATATCATGCAAACATTAATTAAAGGAAAGCAGGAATGGCTGTGTTAATATGCTTCAGAACAAAGAAAATTACCAGAGACAGAAACGGATATTATATAATGATAAAGATTAATCCATCTAGAAGACTTAGCAATCCTAAAGGCATCAAAAAACAGAGATGCAAAATATGTCAAGAAACTCACAGAACTGAAAGGAGAAATAGACAAATCCAGAATTATTTTGAAGATTTCAACACCTTTCTATTAACAATTATTAAAACACATGGACAGAAAATTGGGAAGGATATAAAATAACTGAATACCATCACCAATCAACAATGTGTAATGATCATTTATAAGACACTGGACATTATATTCAATAAAATCTAAACACATTTATTTTAAAGTATCCATGGAACTTACAACACTATAGGTTATATCCTAGCCATATACACACACACACATACATGTCACCAAATTTAAAAGTATTAAAAGTATACAGTGTGTTCACCTTCCACATGGATGCAAACTTGAAATCTACAATAGAAAGATAACAGGAAAATCTCCAAACAGTTGGAAACTAAACAATATATTTCTAAACAATCCATGGGTCAAAGAAGAAATCTCAAGATAAATAAAAAATTACGTGAAACAGAGTTAAAGTTAAATTACAATCGATATATTAAAATTTATGGGACAAACTCAATAATCAACACACAGCCCAATTAAAAATGGGCAAAATAGATGTCTCTCCAAAGAACATACATAGATGGCCAAAAAAGCATATGAGAATCTACTCAATGTCACTAATCATTAGGGAAATCAAAATCAAAACCAAAATGAGATATCATTTCACACCCATTAGGATGGCTGTTATGAAACAAATAGAAGATAACAAGTGTTGAAGAGGGTGTGAAGAAATTGGAAGCTTTGTGCATTGCTAGTGGGAATGTAAAATGGTGTAGCTACTGCGGAAAGTGATATGGGTGTTCCTCAAAATAGTAAACACAGAATTATAATATGATACAACAATTCTATTTCTGGGCATATATACAAAAGAATTGAAAGCAAGGACTCTAACGGATGTGTGTACACCGATGTTCACAGCAGTATTAGTCACAAGAGCCAAAATGTGGAAGCAACTCAAGGGCCCACTGACAGATGAATGGATAAACAAAGTGTGGCATATACGATGGAATATTGTTCATACTTAAGAAGGCAGAAAATTCTGACACTTACTACTACATGGATGAACCATAAAGACATGCTAAGTGAAATAAGCCAGTCACAAAAGGACAAATATTGTATTATTCCATTTATGTGAGGTACCTACAATAGTCAAATTCATGGAGATGGAAAGTAGAATGGTGGTGTCCAGGGTTTGGGAGGAGAGAGAATGGGGAGTTAGTGTTTTAACAGGTATATAGTTTCAGTTTAAGAAGATGAAAATTTTCTGGAGATAGATGATGTTGATAGTTTCAGAAAAAAAATGTATGTGAATGTAGTTAATGCCACAGAAGTGTGCACTTAAAAATTGTTACAGTGGTAAATTTTATGTTATGTATATTTTATCATAACAAAAAATTGTGGAACATAGTTAAAACACTGCCAAGAGGGACATTTACAGTACTAAATGTATACATTAGAAAAGAGAGTCTCTCGGGGCCAGGCACGGTGGCTCATGCCTGTAATCCCAGCACTTTGTGAGGCTGAGGCAAGCGGATCACCTGAGGTCAGGAGTTCGAGACCAGCCTAGCCAACATGGTGAAACCCCGGTTCTACTGAAAATACAAAAAAAAAAAAAAAAAAAAAAAAAGTAGCTGGGCATGGTGGCTGGTGCCTGTAATCCCAGCTGCTCGGGAAGCTGAGGCAGGAGAACTGCTTGAACCCAGGAGGCAGAGGTTGCAGTGAGCCGAGATCACGCCATTGCCATTGCACTCAGCCTAGGTGACAAGAGCGAGACTGTCTCAAAAAAAAAAAAAAAAAAAGAGTCTGTAATCAGTAATCTAAGATTCTAGCTTAAGAATCTAAAAAGAGAAGAGCAAAATAACATTGCAGGCATGTGGAGGAAATAATAAACATAATATCAGAAATCAATAAAATTGAAAAAGAAAACAGTAGAAAAACTCAATAAAACATAGAATTGTCCTTGAAAATGATCTATATAATTGACAAACTTCTACCAAGATTAACACAGAAGAAAAGAGAAGATTCAAATCACCAATATCAGGAATGAAATACAGTGTGTCACAACAGACTCTCTTGGATCTCTCTTGGAGACATAAGACTCTCTTGGAGACGTACATAAGACTCTCTTGGAGACGTAGGTTTGATACATATCGTGAAACTTCCAAACCGTTAAGGAGGCATTGGGATTCAGATGCCTTGGTGCACAAGGACTCTTGTTGAAAACTGCTTCAGCAGGTCAAAACTGTTTTTTGGTCATTTGCCATGTGACAATGCATCTTTCATCTGAGAACACACAAACCTGATTAAACTGTTATGTGGGGTGCATTGCACAGCAAGCTTAGTTTGTTTCATTTCATTGAGATCATATATTTAAGTCATAACAAGAAACAGAATGAGAGCATGTGTTTCCTTATGTATTTTTAATTATGTCATGAACATTTTTACATGATTGCTGCTGTATAATAGCTCCATCTGAGAAAAAAATCAGCCACTTCTACCTCCCAAATGATGTCATTGTTGTCACTGGATGTGAATGAAGGAAGGTCACCTCATGGAAGAAAGAAATGACAAGGTTGTGTCTCTGCAGCATGACTGTCGATGAACCTTTTTAATCTACCTCCTAACAAGATAGCTGGGGGCTGGATAATTGACAAGATCACATATTTCCCAGTCCTGCTCAGACTTTTGAAACTCAAAGTAGAAAATGTTCACTCCCAGAATGCTGAAAAATCAGAGTGGGTGATATCTGATTGCTACTCAATGTTGTAGAAAGTGGATACTTTGTTGAGAAAACTGTCTTGCTGTTTGTCTCCAGGTTCTCAACATTTTACTCACTGACTTATAAAAAGAATACATTATATAATTGGGCCCTGGAGAGGGAGGAAGTAGTCTGTACTGATTTTTGGCTACAAGTTCTACTAAAACATCAGGGAAACATTATCATATATGCTATTTAATTAATGTAATTACATAGAATAATATTTCTCAAACTTTTGACAACTTTAGGTCACTAATTTCAAGTAAGTTTAACAAAAGATTCATTTGTCCAGTTTATTACTTTATTTCCAGCTTTACCAAGGTTTAATTGATAAACAAAAATTATATATATTTATGGCATAAAATGAAATGTTTCAATATCTGTATATATTGTACAATAATTAAATCAAGCTAATTAACATATCCTTCACCCCTCATATTTATTTTTTATGGTGATAACATTTAAGATCTACTCTTTTAGCAATTTGCAAGTACATATTGCATTATTACTAACTATAGTCACAATGCTGTCCATTGGTGACATAAGTCCAATACTTATTTTGGAATAAGCGTCCAAAACTTATTCCTCCTATCTAACTGAAACTTTGTACTCTTCGACCAACATCTTCCCATCTCCCCTTCGCTGCCCCTGGTAGCTACCATTTTGCTCTCTGCTTCTATGTGTTCAACTGTTTTAGATTTCACATATAAGTAAGATCATGCGGTATTTGTCTTTCTGTGCCTGGCTTATTCCACTTAACATAATGCCCACCAAGTTCATCCATGTTGTCCTAATTGACAGGATTTTCTTCTTTTCAAGGCTGGATAGCATTCGTGTGTGTGTGTGTGTGGAAGTGGATGTGTGTGTGCACACGCAAACCTCAGATTTTCTTTATCCATTCATCCACTGATGGACACTTAGGTTGATTCCAGACCTCAAAAACACAGGCAGCAAAAGCAAAACTAGACAAATGGTATTGCATCAAATTTAAAAGCTTCTGCACAGCCAAAGAAATGAATAACAGTGAAGAGGCAGCATGCAGAATGGGAGAAAGTACTTGCAAACCATACATCTGATAATGGGTTCATATCCAAAATACATAAGGAACTCAAACAATTCAATAGTAAGAAAACAAAGAACCCGGTTTAAAAATGGGCAAAGAACCTGAGTAGACATTTCTTTAAAGAATACATAGAGGCTGGGTGCGGTGGCTCACACCTCTAATCTCAGCACTTTGGGAGGCCGAGGCAGGTGGATCATGAGGTCAGGAGTTCAAGACCAGGCTGGCCAAGATGGTGAAACCACGTCTCTACTAAAAATACAAAAATTAGCCAGGTGTGGGGGCGGGCACTTGTAATCCCAGCTACTCAGAAGGCTGAGGCAGAGAATTGCTTGAACCCTGGAGGCAGAGGTTTCAGTGAGGTGAGATCACGCCACTGCACTCCAGCCTGGGCAACAGAGTGATAGTTCATTTCCAAAAAAAAAAAAAAACAAAAAAAAACAAAAAAGCATACAAATGGCGAAAAAGTATATGAAAAAATGCTCAGCATCAGTAATCATCAGGGACATGCAAATTATAAACACAATGTGATATTACCTCACACGTGTTAGAATGGCTGTTATCAAAAAGTCAGATGATAGTAAGTGTTGGTGAGGATGTGGAGAAAAGGGAACCCTTGTACACTTTTAGTAGGCTTGTAAATTGGTACAGTCATTTTTGAAAATAGTATGGAGATTCCTCAAAAAATTAAAAATGGAACTACCATATGATCCAGCAATCCCAGTTCTGGATATATATCCAAAGGAAATGAAAACAGTATATTATATATGCACTCCCATATTCATTGATGTATTCTTTTTAATGCATTTTTCTGTAGGGAGACCCCCTGAAACTATTGCTACGGAATAAAAGATGAAATGCTCCTGATTATTGTAAATACAAAATTGCATGCAGAATTGTGTAACGACAACCCAGGTTGGACTGCCAGAATGAGCCAACAGCACGTGATGTGCTTGCCCCTGCAGAGAGCCTATGAATGGACGTGCAGTCAGGGAGGTTTCATATCACCAAGATTCCTATCCCAGAAAAGCAGATGTTCATAGCTCTGGGAATGGAATGAGACCCTTGTGGAGAGCCTATAAACGGACGCATGGGGGCGCCTGTCGATATGGATAAGATAGGGCTATAGACGCCCTCATCTTGCCATGGCTCTTCTAGGCCTCTTTAGGGTTAAGGCATACTCCCTTCTGAGAATTTCTGGTCTAACCCGTTGTCTAGCTTCACGTCCTGTTTCTATGGATTGTTTGTAACCAGCTTTTGCTGCAACTGTTACTGCTGATTAATATCTTGCTAATCATAGGTTATGGAAAGACTAAGTTTCTGTTTTAAGGCTCTGTTAGAAATTACTGATGCACACACTATATTGTAAATTCTTATCCCTGTATACTGTACTTCTGCATACAGATGTTATGTTAAAGAATTACTTCATCCCCATGTGACCATCTCACCTCATAATCAAATGACCGTAAATCCCTCACTAACCTACCCCTGACCTCACTAAACTTAATAATAAATGCTGGTATATCCAGTGCATTGTTGGCACCATGGGACTAGAAGGCAGCGACCCCCCTGGACCCAGCTTTCACTATCTTGTGTGTGTCTATTATTTCTCAACCTGCCGATCCGCCTAGGAACAAAGAGAGAGCCCCATTGCATTGTGGGCTGCTGGCCAGATCCCACAATATTTTTGCATTAAATTAGAACATTCTAATTTACAACTATAGTTATCAGGAAGGACGATAGTGTTCAGTGTCTCTGTTAGATGGTTCTAGAGATTCAGATTCAAATGGACCCAAAATGTATAGATAGATTTTTTTTTTCAGAGACTACTTGACACTCTGTAATTTCATCTCAAAAGCTGAAAAGTAAAATGTCTGAACATGAAACATAATAGTGAATGGGTCTCTATCAACTCCTTGTTTTAAACATCTCTGATAACTTCCCTTCAGATTTTGAGTAAACATGCCTCATAATATATACAAACAACTTTATTCTCCAGCAGGTTAAAAAAAAATTAGGTATTGTGAAAGAGTGAAACTGTCAGGCATCAATCCATCTGCACATGGTTTAGTTTTCTCATGAAAACTTAATACAGTATCCTTAACCCGAAAAACATATATTTTAGCACCAGTATCATAGGTTCAGACTGCGCTAGGTCCTGCTCATATTGAGAGGCACAGTATAGCTAAGTAACTTAAAATCCTGGAAATGATCTGGCATTATTAGAAATGTTTCATCTAATAGCTCATTTCACTTACTTAGGTGCCTCTATAATCAGTGTTCTTAGATACAATAAAGCATTTATTCACATAACACCTTGGGACGTATGCACTGTTCAATCATATTAACAATTATCTTCTTCTCTTTTGACTGTGCATTGAGATTAGGAGTAGGCTGTAGGCTGGACAGCTTGGGTTTGAACCCCTGCTCCTTCACTTACTTGCTGTGAGGCTGTGGACAACTTCCTTAACCTCTCAGTTTCTGCATTGATAAGCCAAAGAGCCTACCAGATAGTAAAAACTTCATAGGTCATTATAGGAATTCAGTTAGTTCATATAAAGGTGCTTGATACATAATAAATGTTCAGTGCATGTTATCCATTGTTGTATACGAATAACACAAAGGCTAAGAAGTTACTCAAATATCAGTGATTTTATTTAATTGTGAAGTGAAGCATGTGTAGTACATGTAGTTTTAATTTCTTCTAAATAATTATGCTTTATTAATGAGAACTCTTTCTGATGCAAATTGAAAGAAAACAATCTTATAACTTGCTTAATTAGAAAAAAAAGAATGCATTGTCTTAAACAAACTGCAGTCCTAGAGGAGACTTTGCATTAAGCCTGTCTGAATTAGAAATCAGAAAATGTTATCAATAATAAATCTCTCTCTCTCTTTCTGTCTCTCTCCCTCTCCCTCTTTTCAGTCTCTTGGTTCTGCTTTTTCCTGATTTAGCTTTATTCTCAGGAAAAATAGCCTTGAGCCACTCTGTGCATACAGTTCTTAACTATCACAACTCAGAAAGAAAAAGAGACTTTCCATTTCAGAACTTCTATATAAATTCTCATGATGAATAAATACATTAAAAAAATCGGTCTCTATAGTTAAGTTTTGTTTATGAAAAAAAAGTCAGTCTCTATGGTTAATTGTCCTTTCCAACCTATCCTCTAGAAACATTTTTCCTAATCCCTGGATGAAATCTCAGCATGTTCTGTATCTTTTAGATAGTAACAAATAGTTTTATTTCCCAGTCTGAAAAATCCAAGCTTATATTAAGGCTTCAATGTTTCATTTACTTTAAAGTTTCTTCCACTTCCTAGCTTGGCCCTTCTTCAGACTGAAAATTCTGGAATGGGAAAATGCAGATGATATTGGTTCCCTCACCTATTTTCTCTTTTTCTTCTTGTCCTCCTTTTCCAGCGTTGGAATGAATTCTCTAGTGTTGGAACGGGGAGCAAAGAGAGGTAAGGGACAGGAAAGGTTTGTCTGGAGTACATGAGGTGTCCCCTGGCTAAATACACATTATTTCCTGTTTGGTTCTTGGGTTCTGAGAGGCATCCCAGGACTTTCTCTGGAGAGTTTACTCACCACTTCAGATGGTGCTCTTGATAGGAAATCCTTTAAAACAATCAAGTTCAGTTGTCTTCTACAGGATCTATATCTGGCCTCACATTGTGCCCCCAAACTCTGGAAATCTAGGCCACCTCTAGCACAGCTTTCTTGGCCGGGGTTGGAAATGAGACTGCCCGAGGGCAGCCTGAACTGGCCTTGTGCTCTTATCTGACTTGGTCAGGCCTCCCCACAGCCCTAGTCCAGTGCTGCCTGACATTGGGTAGGTAAACTTTTCCAGTTCAGGAGTTGTCTTTGAAGGTGACTTTGGCTCTTCCGCAAGGTCATTTTTGTACTTAGCTTTATCAGTAGCACTGGTAATATTTTGGCCTTCAATTTTATTGTTTTATTTTTGACATTGTTCAGAATCTAGGCAGGGCAAAGGGGTTCTCTTTTTGGATAAGCTGAAGAATCTCAGTGGTCTAGACTACCACACTAAGAAACATTAGTCTACTGGGGAAAATATAGAATGAAATGGGAGATGGTATAGGACATGACCTCTGCCTTCAAATGTTTAATCTAATTAGGGAGCTAGGCAAATAAATTATCATGAACAATTCAATGTGCTGAAAACAATAAGGGCTGCATTTATTGAGTATTAACTGTGTTTCAGGCTTTACAGATGTTTTCATTTAATCTTCACAGCAACCCTGATTTAGAGGCTATTACCATCTCCATTTTACAGATTGAGGCTAAAAGAGTTCAAACAGCATGTCTCAAATTAAGAAGAGTCAGAGCTTATATTTGAAACCAGATCTGTCTGATCTTAACTTCTTAATTGGCAAGCACCCTGTAAGGCCTCACTTGGACTTTTAGAAGCTTAGGGTCTAACAGAGAGCCTGACATGCAAATCTTCCACATTAAAGTAGCAAAACGAGAAAGACATTACTTCTATCAACTGCTTTGATACAGTAAATATCATATTAGAATAAGGCCTTTCTTCATATGCTGATGTCATTACCTGGCAATGGCAGAACATCCTAGGTATAAATCCTTGCCTCCAGCACCTAACCAGTTCAGATACTCTCCACTTCACTTATGTATACTGACCACCTGTGTGTCTTGACCAAACCCAGTGCATTTTTAGAATATTCTCAAATGTATGCAAACTCTACTCAGAATCAGAAAATCCCCCAATTTCTGAGCTTTCAAATATTTTATTTTTATGGTACTTTATTAATATAAAGAAATGTGACACTTTAAATTTCATGAAATAATAAGTAACATTAGTTTTCTATTTTTATTTTTCAGATGATTTTATACACATCTGTTTATCTGATACCTTTAACAATGTCATGGCGTATACTATTATAATTATCAACATTATAGATATTATGTTAAGGAACCTAAGACTCAAAGTTCTAAACAGGTAGTTTATAACTAAGTTACACAAAGACTGCAGCTGGGTGGATTCTCTTCTGATTGTAAATTCTATACTCTTTCTATTCTACCTCAGTGACTCAGATACTGCCAGCAATCGTTCTAGCTTTTCCTTGATGAGTTCCTATAGAATGATAAATATCTTCACAAAGTTCCCAACATCACTGCAAGAGCTGATTATTGGCTGGCTAGAAACAAAACATATATCAGACACTGTGGGAAAGCACAAGTGCATTTTTAGAGGCATTGTTTTTAATCATGAAAAGCTGGTACGACAGGCAATTTTTTGAAATATTAAATTGTGTTTTGCTTTTCCAGCTATAAAAATGAAAAAAGAATGAGTAGTATTTCTGCTTTATGCTTTGTATTTTCCTCCTCTCATTCTAAAAAGGCAACAGAACTTTGCATTCCCTTCCCTTTGATGTAATTGCTGAGCCAAAGCAAAATAACCGAAGAAAATCACTTTTTATGGCCTTTGTGGAGGCTTAAATTTATGAAGGATATCATGAGAGGGAGGGAAGAGAAGTATCATCCAGAATGAAGAGAAATAGATAAAAGCAGTGAAATCTTGGGGTATACCACACAATTTAAAAGGGGATGACAATCTGCTAATTTATGGAATATTTGACATGTGAAGTTGGCTCCATTGTCAATACCCATGGGTGCAGGAAGGACCCCTGCACCCCTCAAAAGGGAATGACAATTTGGTAAATCTCAGGAAGCTGGACCCTAGACCCTGGGGCTGGAATGCAGGCTGAGATTCAGATGGCAGAGCCTGGTACAAAAGCTCCAGAGCCACAGGACTTTGAAGTTCGGTGTAGGATAAATTTACCAGCTCTTCTCGAATGTTCTAAGGGCAGGAGAAGCCTATGTGAACATACAGTTTTACAGGAGCCTTCATCATCATCTTTGAATGAGGGCAGGGGCACAAAGAGGGTTCTCAAAAATTAATTTTCTGAACAGCTATTATCTGGAAACTTGATGTTATATTTAATTGTATTTTAAAATAATATATTATATATATGTATGTATATTTGTGTGTGCATGGGGTGAAGTTGAATAGACGAAATGAACTTTCAAATTGTAAATACTTTCTGATAAACAGTAATGAGTACTTGGGGGCTCATAATACCGTTCTCTTTCTTTGTATGTGAGAATTTTTCATAAGAAAACATTTTTAAAAGACAATAAAGTAAGGTAACAATTCTTTACCTCTCTTATATAGACTAAGTTTCATGCTGGCCATGCTGGAAGGATCCCAAAAAGCACCACACAAAAGGAATAGCTAAGTAGTGACGCCTGCCATGGGCTTAGAGTAGACAAGTGGCAATATATGTGACTTGTATTTTCCATCCTTCAGCAAGATTCTCCAACTATTTTTGACATAAACAAAGTCATCAGAAATCAAAATATTACAATTCAGTCATCTTTACACAGAAATAGAACAAATATATCACACTTTTGTGGGGATAGATTAATAATTTGAAGCAATAGCCATATCTTTTATTAGAAATAAAGTTATTGCCCAATATTTGATTCTACAGCCCTTTTGCAAAAACCTAAGTGAAACATTTCTGCTTGCTTTGATTCCTGGAAAGTATCTACGAGGAATAGAGATGGGATTTAACTAGAATCCCTGATCCACTAACGCTGCTAGATGCAGTTAATCCTGCTAGCTTTGGTCCACAAGACTGGAAGAAGATAAAATAAAACGTGGCTTGGATCCTCCCCAGTGTGCGGGGGCTGGACTTCATTTCCAAACTCAGAAAAAAGCCTTGGAATCCAACATTTGCCTCCACCAGCAGTCCTGATGCCCTAAGCCTTCTCCCCATCTCCTACTGGCTCTCTGGGATGGCACTATCAGATGTGCAGGGCTCCAGGGTGCTCAGATTCTTGCTCTTTCCAGAGCCCAAGGGCTGTCAGCTTTACCGATGCTCCTGAGTTGCCAGGCTCTAATTCTGCCATAGGACCTGCAGCTTGAGCAGGCCCAAAAGCCTAAGCCTACAAGGCTCCTTCTTCACGATGAGGTGTGTAACACTAAGATACCCTGAATGAAGGAAAGTCTGGCTGAGGGAATCTAAAACAGCACCCCAGAGAGGCCTGGAGCAGCCTCAGAGGACGCCTGCTCTCTAAGTGGAGGCTGCTTCCCAGAGGAGGCTGTGCTCCCTTGAGCCAGTCTCTGTGAGCTCCCAATGGAAGGTATAGAAGCTACTGGGAGCTAACGGAGATTTAAAATTAGCTTCTGTGGCGCACAAACTACCAGCCAACTATCCGCAGACACATCTAGGTCTTTGGGGGTACCCAACTATACTTACACAGAACTGGCCCCATAACCAACAGTTTCTACTTTGGAACTACCACCAATATGAAGGCTCCTGAGAGTTCTTGCTTTTCAGGGCAGAGGACAGAACATTAAAACCTGAAATGACACAAAGGCCTCCCAAAGATCTCCAAAGTGATGAAGGGAAGGAAATGTTAAAACTGCTATTTATGGCCGGGCGCAGTGGCTCATGCCAATCCCAGCACTTTGGGAGGCTGAGGCAGGTGGATTGCGAGGTCAGGAATTCAAGACTAGCCTGGCCAACATGGTGAAACCTCATCTCTATAAAAATACAAAAATTAGCCAGGTGCGGTGGCGGGTGCCTGTAATCCCAGTTACTTGGGAGGCTGAGGCGGGAGAATCGTTTGAACCTGGGAGGTGGAGGTTGCAGTGAGCTGAGATCAGGCCACTGCACTCTAGCCTGGGCGACAGAGCAAGACTCCGTCTCAAAAACAAAAACAAAAACAAAAAACCAGCTATTTATACTCACTTTTATAGAATAGCCTAAAAATTATGCTTTAGTAATATATATGATTGGCAGTGGCTTCCTCACTTGGGCCATGTGTCACTTAAGGTATAAGTTGTATCCTGAGGGAAGAATATAAATTCCACAACTCAAAGGGGTTGACAGCTGCACACTCACATGTCCGTTCATGCTCAGTGCATCATAGAGCAGTTCTCACAGGATTTATGAATTTTGTATCATAAAGAGTAAAATATTTATAATACTGGAATGTTATAATACTGACACAAGATGGCATCATATAAATCTATTTTATGTGTTGTTTTTATTTTTGTTTTGTTCAGCACAGATCTCCTGTTATCTTTTGGCAAAGAAATAAAAGAATAACATTTTTCTTACACTAAATGACAAGAGTTCCAAATTTCCTGACCTTTTCTGTAATGACAAGTAGCTGTCAATACACTACTGTCTAACAGAGATCTTCAGAAAAGATAAAGACACTTATTGTCTCCTTTCAAGGTAAAGGTGACATTCTGACAATGAGTGAGAAAGTAACTATTTGCTTTGGTTTTAATCCTGCAATGGGGAAAGAATGTTCAAAATGGATATTCGGAAACGTTTGCATCGTCGTTGTCGAAGATGATATGTCTCATTTCTTATAAACTTCTCATATCTTAGATTAAAATAAAATTGAGATAGAATTCTCTAACCTGTCTTAAGATCCTCTAAATAAAGAATTTCAGCAGATTTTAAGGCCATTCAGTGAAAATATTAAAATGAAATCCCTTCTGATTCATTCACCAGAAGTCTGATTCCGCAAGGTATACATATAACAAAACATCACATTGTATCCCCAATACATATATAGTTCTCATTTGTCAATCAAAAAGCAAGTAAAACTTCAATAAATATTTTTAAATTCTGATTTCGACATTAGGGAGGAGGGAATTTGTTAAATTTTAACAAGTGAACAAGAAATGTTGTCAGTGGGATTAAGAAATTAATATCATGATTCAGAAAGTGTAGATAGTGGTGTATCTCTTGGATCCATAGATCTCTTGAGAAGTATTTTGTAGCTATCACTGTCATCAAAGCCAAATATCAAAACACAATGAAGAGAATCAGACCTTCAATTCTGCATCATAAAGCATTAAACCAAGATTTCATTTAAATGATGGAACATAGTCCATCACATTACAATGTTAAAAATATTTATAATAAACTTAGTAAGATTTTGAATACGGATTTTTTACTTGATTAAAAATATAATTGAAGTGCTTCAATAATCTTAATTCATGTTTCTTATATTCTTTGTAGAAAGGTGTATTTTGGTAAATGATTTGTACTGTGCATAATACGTAGTGCTGTATTAACTTATGTATGTTTGTGTTTATATGTGTATCCATCTGTCTATTTAGAATTTTTTAAATATGCAGGGGTGCACTTGGATCACACATGAATTCCAGAACAACTGGGCATAGCTTTTGAACTGCAACTTGAAACAGGAGCTCTGAGAATGGCTCATTTCTGTGTCCCTAGTGTTAAGCACAAGGCCTGGCTAGGCTCAATAAATGTTTGATAAATGAATGAAAATTTCAACATGGCTAGAGGTTGGAATTGTTCTCATATAAAAATAAGCATCCATGAATTCTTTAAATGAGTTTTAATCCATATATACATGCAAAGAGCAGTGAAATAAAATCACAAAATATTTATGCCTTTGAAAAAAATTCTGTTCATGTGAAAAGGCACCTGATGTCTCTGTTATGAGCCACTAGATGGCAATAGCTCTACATTACTCTCCATTTCTCTCTTCCTAGGGATCCTTCTCTGTTGGTCTTGAAGGTGCCACCTGGAATGATTATCTCTGCAGATACTTGCCAAAAACAAGGCATATCTGCTTTAGGAACTCTGAGATTGATATTACTAACGAAAATGCATTTCTGTGCTTGTTTCTTGTTGCATAAGTCTAAGACTATTCCAAGTTATCCACCAATTTGATTACCTTGGAGCTGTAAATTACTACAGTGAAATCAATAAAGAATTTATTTTCAACCATAGAAGTCCATAAAGGTCTGCATATGGAAAGTTCAAGATAATTGCAGTGTTTTTATGGAGATTCCAATTTCTCTTCTCTTTCCTCCTTCTCCCTAACCTCGTAGCTTTGGAACATGAGCACAGCTACAAATACCAAGATGACAGAAGTGAGAGTTCTGCTCCTGCCTCTCTCTCTGGCTGTTTCTGTGTATTCACAAATAAACCACCAGACTGTGACTGAGAACTGTCCAGTTGCTCATTCATGGAACAGATCTACTAAGAGAACCTGCAAAATGCGTGAGATTTTTGGAAAGAAAATGACAGAATTAGAAATAGGGTAATGACAAGACAGCAGGGCAATTTTAGCTCCATTCTCTTTAGCTCAATACCTGGAGAAATGGTACTGTATAATTTAATTCAATGCTTTCCTGGGCTGTTTTGTTTGAACTTATTTATTAGCCATACCAGGGTAGTAGAAAGAAACTATGCAAAATCCCGGGGTTGCTGTGATTACAATCTAGTTGGGTCTAAAGCTCTCACAGATAAGACCTAGATTTCTTTGTTCTGTAGATGACTCAAACATTGAGGAAAGCAAGAGGTTACATTGAATTCTTAAAAAAAAATCTCTTCACATGATTTTTATCTTTCTGTTTCTCAAGTACTTTTGGCAAATATAGCTCCGATGGGTTCAGAAGTTTAATTTTACTTCAGCATCTTTATGCCATGACAACTGCCTCCTGTCCCCCTCCTCCAATTTTAAGATAATTCTAAGGGCAATATTGAGGGAGGAGGTGGGAGAGAGGGAGAGAGAGTGCATGAGTGCACACTAGAATGCAGATACCCTGAGTATTTCTTTTTTAAATTAAACAAATATTACAGATGGAGAAACAAAATGCCACATTTGTTTAAGGCTACATTTGGCTCTCTTATGATGGAAAATAGCCCAAGTGACTAATCTCCCTCATGTTTCCTGCATTTATTTAACTTAAATTCCATCTCAATCTTGTTCTAATTGATTTCTTCCAAAGAGAACTCTAAAGGATTATTTTGGGATTGAATCTTCTCTTGACTACCTACAACCAATTGTTGTTTCAAATTATTTTAAAAACTGGCCAAATCAATGTGATATCTCCAGAAAGGCATTTATTAATTCCAGAGGCTCATATAGACTGCCCAGCTATTGGGACTCACAGAACAGTATCCAGAGCTGGAGGGTAAAAATGTGGTAAGGGGTATTCTAGTATATCTCATTTCTTTTCTTTTCTTTTTTGTTTTTCTTTTTCAGGGAGAATAATCTTTTCAGGTACCTCCTAGCTTATTTTTCTCGCATCTTTTTGGCCACAACTAGGCTTTACACCTCCTCTGGACCAACCAGTGGGAAAAGTATATGGGGTTTCCTTACTCTCTTAGCCCAATCATGAGCCATTCTCCAGATCTGGGTATAATGTCACCTAAACACACCTGGAGATCTGTTGGCCAGGAAGAAACAGAAGGGTAATGAAAAAAGAGAATACAAGTTGAGCAGTCAAGGAACTCTGTCAGCTACAGTTAGCTTTGTATGTGTTTTGGAGTACACTTTAATACGGCCACATAGAATTCCATGGGAAAAGTAAAAGATAAGGTTGACAGTAAGCAGAATCTGGATTGAGGGCATCCTTGAATTAGTATGTTCTTAATAGGCAATGAAGATTTTGCAAATGGCTTTTATGTAATTAGTCTGGTGATCTTTCCTAAGTCTCACATCTACAACTTGAAAAGAAAAAACCAATGTGTGTCTCAATGTGCCCTGAGAAAACCAGGGTGTTTCCTATACCGTATGCTCAGAAGATACTGTTTAGAGCAATGAATGGGGGATGGCAAGAAGAGAGTAGCTCCTATTTAATGGATGAATGGATGGGGGAGGCTGAGTCTATTTGACACATTGGTTGGAGAGGGGAGGTGTCTGTAGCACTGTAATGGCAGTGATAGGTTCCTCTGTAGTTCTTGGCAATGCAGTACTTTGAAGTTCTGTTTAATTTCTGCCTAGTTGGGGAAGGAGGGAGATCATCAGGGGATGGACAAGGGTAAGAGAGCCTGCAGGTGTGGTTGGAGGGAGGCAGGCTTGTCTGCAGCCTAGAATATGAGAAGAGCCAGGTTTCTGCAGCTGGGGGAATGGCTGATAAATGGTTGTGGTGGGACACAACCTGTGGACAGTACAGAATAAAACTCTTTAGGAGAGAGGCCGGTGAATTTAGAGAACTAGCCAGCCAGGGGTGAGGGTTTTTGTAGCCCTAATGAAGGCAGAACTGGAATGGAAAGGTTCAAATGTATTAGAAATGGGGGAGGGTAGAGAGGGTCTCAAAAAGTAGATTGAGGAGGAGACAACATTTGCAGCATGGGATGGCCAAGGCCACAGCGTATTCAGCATCATGGAAGGGGCGTCTGTCTCTCTGCATCATTGTTAGGGATGAGATTGGTGCCTCCTCGGCACTGGATAGAAGAGAAATTCCTCTCTGAAGCATTGATTGGAGAGGTAGTCTGTCTCAGGCACTGGATAGGAGTTTGATATGTGTAGCCTTTTTTTTTGGAATTGTTCAGGCTGTTCAGCACATGTTGGGCTTGTTTGTGTCACTGTGAGGAGGTGTGTAGTGTCTCGTGTACTTGCAGAATTCATTTGGGGATTGTACTCTTATGGCTCCACCCTAAATTCTGGGGTTCATCAATGAATCCACTACAGTGCACAAAGTGAGGCCAGAATGTCCACAATACTGTGGGGAAGATTCCAGTGTGTCTGCCTCACTAAGATCTTTGAGAGACCCTAGACATGTGCCACTGACTAGAGAGGGTGTTAGAAGCCTTAGGTCTTAATCCTGGGTATCTTCAATATTGGAAACAAGTGTAGGGAATTTGAAGAACTGTTGGGCCAAGGATTCCAAGTGGCTACATCAACAACTGGGGACAGAGCTGATACTTCCGAAGCCCTGGAGGGTAAGGCACCTCTGTGTGTTGTTTGCAAAAAACTTCGGGTTAAGTATGACTGTATAAGTGGGGCATTCTACAAAGCGGAGGACAAATTGTATTCTATTTATTGTATTTGGTCTGTGTGACTTTACTGAATTGTTTATTACCAAATTTGCATCACCACCCTGTTCACATATCTCCTCTTCTAATGACAGTAGAGGACAAAGCAAATTCTAATTTCTAGAATGCTCTTCCCCATTTGGTTCAAATTAAAATGTGCCAATGAAAACCACTCACATGTGTTTTGGAAAGTGGATGAGAGGAAGCCACTATTTCCTGGAAATAGTCACAGGCTGACACCTGAATAGACATGAGGTTCACAGCAGTTCCCTAGAGAGTAATAGGAACCATCCAATTTAGCAAATCAAGCTGAGACTGTTGGTGATAGCTTCTTTGACCTTAGCGCTCCTAGCTCTTTCAGTGGTAGCATAAGTGCCTAATTTTCTATTTTAAACTCCTTCATATGTGGACAACACAGGGTGGATCCTGTTTTCCTAATTTGAATCTGGGCTGATATTATGACGCCGACACTCCCTGTGCTATTGAATCGGACACAATAGAGGACAGGAAACACAAATTAGGCTCCAGCCATTTCCGTAGACAACTGGCCCGGTTGTATTAATTTAAAGTTGAATTAATGAATTCTTTTGTGACACTATACATTTTAAAATATTTTTTTGGTTATGTTGGTTCTATTTCTGTCAGCAATTGTCCATTGAGACTCTAATGCCAATTTATGATTATGGTAGAAACAAGAAGTGAGATTTTCACTCTGTGTTTAGTGCTGCCATTCTTTGTGAAACAAACTGAGATTATGACAGTGTATAATGAAGCAACAAAGTGATAAACAAGAGTGCAAGTATCAGGGGTCCAGAAACAAGAGAAAGTAGTCAGGACCAGAGTTGTTAGAAAAGACTCTAGGATGTGGAATTGTTGTTGGCATTTTTTTTTAATTGCAGTAAAATATGAAAACATAAAATTTACCATTTTAACCATTAAGTGTACAGTTCAGTAATGTTAATTATATTCACATTGTTTTGTAACCTATTCTCCAGAACTCTTTTCAGTTTGCAAAACTAAAATGCTACACTCATTAAACAACCCTATTCTTCTTTCTGCCTTCTCTGCTTCTAGGCCCTGTCAACCACCTTTCTATTTTTTATCACTATGAATTTGAATACTGTATGTACTGCATATAAGTGGAATCATACAATATTAGTATTTTTGTGTCTGGCTCATTTTACTTGTATAATACCCTCAAGTCTCGTGGGATGGGGGAGTTTCAAAGAAAGCCTAGAGGAACTTGTAGGATTTGGAGACATGGAAAAGGGAAGCACAAAATAGTATTAAAGAAGTCCTCTTATTATAATCACCAAAAAAAACCACCAGAGCCGGGCGCGGTGGCTCATGCCTGTAATCCCAGCACTTTGGGAGGCCGAGGCAGGTGGATCACGAGGTCAGGAGTTCAAGACCAGCCTGGCCAACATGGTGAAACCCCCTTTCTACTAAAAATACAAAAATTAGCCCGGCATGGTGGCAGGCACCTGTAATCCCAGCTACTCGGGAGGCTGAGGCAGGAGAATCTCTTGAAACTGGATGGCAGAGGTTGCAGTGAGCCAAGATCACAGCACTACATTCCAGCCTGGGCAAAAGAGCAAAACTCCATTTTAAAAAAACAAAACACAAACACACAAAACAAACACCAAAGCGTGTAAAACAAAAATATTAGAAATTTGAAAAAATGAACAAAACTACTATTACAGTGAGAGAGTTTAAGAAACCCGTCTCTGTCATTGCATATCAAAAAGGCAGTAAAGAAGTTAAATAAGGATGTAAATAATTTATAATTGATTTTTACATATTTATTTCCAGCTGTGAGTCCTCTAGCTGGTTGACTTTTAGGTTATTTTTATTACCTTGATAACTATTGGCAGCCAAGAAAAAAATGTAATCTAAAATATGAAATTCCCACTTTAGGACAACATCAGTTAGCCAGTTCCAGCTTCAGGTTATCCAAAAAGGCAGACAGAACCATGGAAAGAAAGCCAGAATGAATCAGAGTTCCTGTTGCTGATTAATTCTAGGTCTTTCTGTGAGGTACTTTCTTCCTTTACTTTATTTCCTTATCCATAAAATTGGCAAGAATCGTATCTAAGGTCTTCTTCAAGTCCAATATTCTGTGACATTATGCATATAACTGTTATTCAGATAAAAGGAGATGAAATTTTAATATTCATATGACAAGTGTTGATGATGGTATGTTCCATGCAGGTCCTGTACTATTTGGTGGGAATGGATATGTGAAGATATAAACTAGGGACCACCCAACTATGTCTGAATGTTTGGGGAATGGTCTGTAGGAGATAGACCTTCCTAATGTTTCTCAAAAACATTTTGAGAAAATACATAGTATATTTAGAGAATAGAGAAACATATCCATCATTTTCTTTCCAATGAGTAATTCATGATCCTCAAAATATATTGCACAATTCTCTTTCATGCTACTGGTTCCTGTGATGATTTTAGAACTAGATCAAGAAAACAAGTTATTTCATCTGAGAAATCACCCCACTGGGCCAAAGCATAAATATAAAGTTTGTGATGTTATAAAGGAAGATGGGAGTACAAGAAAACAGGAATCAAGCAGACACTCTAAAGTTTGAAAAATCAATTGGAGTTAAAAGAAGATCAGTTAAGAAAGGAAGCATAGTAGCAGTCGCTCTGAAGGTTAGTTATTGATAGCTCAATCCAAGGTGCTCCTATTTGGTCCTTGCAGACACCAAGAGAGGGTGATAAAGAATACTTGAATTCTAGTAAGATCAGTTTCATCTTGTCACAAAGAAATACAATTGCTATTTCAATGAAAATTAGAAAGGGCATTATTCAATAAGTATCTAGGAAATTTTCTAGTGCTAAATAGGAAAGTAAACCTAAAGTATATTTCAACTTGATATTGGAAAACATCTGGCTGTATGTATCATGGGCTTTAATCCAGAAAAATACAAGTTTAATCTCAAAGTAATTTAATAGCTGAGGGAGGGTGGCAAATCATTTATTTTTCTGAGCCTTAGGGTCCTAAGCTGTAAAATCACATCGGTAATAGTATTCTGCAACATAGAGTTGCCATGATAATTAAATGAGATGAAGAGGATGAAACACACAACACGGCCTCATGTAAAGCAGATGCTCAGTAAATGTTAGTTCCCTCTTGTATTAGAGTTCTCTAGAGGGACAGAACTAATAGGATAAATGTATATTTGAAAGGAGGTTTATTAAGGAGAATTGACTCACAGGATCACAAGGTAAAGTCCCACGATAGGCTGTCTGCAAGTCCGAGTCCCAAAACCTCAAAAGTAGGAAAGCCAACAGTGCAGCTTTTAGTCTGTGGCCAAAGGGCTGAGAGCCCCTGGCAAACCACTGGTGTAAGCCTGAGCCCAAAAGCTGAAGAACTTGGAGTTTGATGTTCGAGGGCAGGAAGCATCCAGCATGGGAGAAAGATGGAGGCCAGAAGACCTAGCAAGTCTGCTCTTCCATCTTCTCTTGCCTGCTTTATTCTAGCTGCACTGGCATCTGATTAGATAGTGCCCACCCAGATTGAGCATGGGTCTGCCTCTCCCAGTCCACTGACTCAAATGTTAATCTCCTTTGGCAACACCCTCACAGACACACCCAGGAACAATACTTTGCATCCTTCAATCCAATCAGGTTGACACTTAATGTTAACTGTCACACCTCTTCTTCCCAGAGTAGTGCCAAGCCTACAGTCACCTGCCTGTAACAGGCAGGGTCTAATCAGGAGACAGAAAACACAGAGTGTTTTGAATATAGGAAGTTTAAGAAAAAGAGTATTGGCCAGGCACAGTAGCTGACGCCTGTAATCCCAGCACTTTGGGAGGCTAAGATGGGCGGATCATGAGGTCAAGAGATCAAGACCATCCTGGCCAACATGGTGAAACCCCATCTCTACTAAAAATACAAAAAATTAGCTGGGCATGGTGGTGCGCACCTGTAGTCCCAGCTACTCGGGAGGCTGAGACAGGAGAATCACTTGGAGACCCAGGAGGCAGAGGTTGCAGTGAGCTGAGATCACGCCACTGAGCTCCAGCTTGGTGACAGAGCAAGACTCTGTCTCAAAAAAAAAAAAAAAAAAAAAAAAAAGAGTAGCAATGATAACTAGGGATTGGAGTAACGAAGTAGTCGCTAATAAAAAAAATAGAATTCTAAAACATGTAAGAATGGCAGATATAATGAGTATCTCTAGGAGTTAGATAGAGCATCAAAAAAAGAACCCACCACACCTGACTCCTGTGGCTGAGATTTAGATCTTGGAAAGGAGTGGCTGTGACCCACTGGAAGGCAGAGAAGTCTGTCTGCTGCACCAGAGGAAGTTGCTGGAAGTCCATCTGTTGTCTATATTGCTGGGGAAACTGTTCACAGGGTTATCTTGCCTGAGATATTCCACTGCAAAACCACCCACAGGGTGCTAGAGGAAGCTGCTGGCTTTAAGTGCTGTTATCCACTAGGAACGGCAGGAGCGAGGTACTGGAAAAGACATCTGGGCTGATGCTGGCGAAACCATGCAAGTTGTAGCAGCCATGTGCTGGGGAAGCTGCCCATGCTTCAGAATCCAGGATTGAAGAGGAGTGTGCACTGCAGGAAGTGGGCATGGAAGAAGCTACCCCACACTGCAGGAGCCTACGAAGTGGAGCACACTGGAACCAGAGAGAAGGAAGATCACTTTCCTCCTCCACTGATGGTCTTTCCAGAACTCTGTTGGCAAAGCTTAACAGCGTCCCATATGGTGAAGAAGAAATAATTGAAGAGACCAGCTGCATTTCACAGGTCAGGTAATGAAGAGTGGATTTGGAGCTGAGAGACAATAAAATGATAATTTGCACACTGGCTAAACTAGGTTTCATCTTTGTAGTGCATCACTGTGGAATAATACCCTATGAATTTACCCAGAGATCTGGTTGGTGTGAATGGTCAACCAGAGAAAGACAGCCTGGCTCCTGCAAAGGGCCCTCTAGGGCTGCTGACTGCCAAGGCAGAGGAGGAGATTTTAGCCTCTTTCTCTCCACGTGCATCCTTGTTCCCTAACCTCTTATGAAGACATTGCTCATCTTATTCATCAAATTATTGACCATAGATTTGTCCACATTGGCTGGCAAGCAGGAACACTGTGCCATAAATAACAGAAATTAATGCCATACTTTTTTTCTCTTTCACTCCTCTTTTATGGTACTCTCGAGAGGAACTCAGCCACTTCTCATTTTTTCCACAAAACTATACAAGAACCCTGGTCACTGTGTCAGGTACCTGCACCATGTAGCTGGTCATTAAGTAGTGAAATTCCAAGATTCGAAATTAGGCTAGCTGCAAACAAAGAGCTGCAGACCTCCGACTCAGATCTAGGCACTCACTCAAGTAATAATAAAGTAATAATTATTTCTCATTGACTTTGCTTCCCATGTCTATCTCCTTGTAGAATCTGCAAGGACGAATTGTTATTTGCAAAACAGTATTCAGGGATTTACATTTTTGTCAACAATACTAGCAAACACCTTCAAAATGCCATCTTAACAACTGCCATCTTGTTATTGCAGCCAAACACTTGAAATGGTTGGGTTTTTTTTTTTTTTTTTGAGACGGAGTCTGGCTCCGTCGCCCAGGCTGGAGTGCGGTGGCGCGATCTCGGCTCACTGCAAGCTCTGCCTCCCAGGTTCACGCCATTCTCCTGCCTCAGCCTCCCGAGTAGCTGGGACTACAGACGCCCGCCACCACGCCTGGCTAATTTTTTGTATTTTTTTTTTTTTTTTTTTAGCCAGGGTGGTCTCGATCTCCTGACCTCGTGATCCGCCCGCCCCGGCCTCCCAAAGTGCTGGGATTACAGGCGGCTCTTTTTTTTTTTTTTTTTTTTAACTTAATATATTATTAGCTTGGTGCAAAAGTAATTGCAGTTTTTGCCATTAAAAGTAATGGCAGATCAGGAGTTGGAGACAAGCCTGGCTAACACAGTGAAACCCCGTCTCTACTGAAAATACAAAAAATTACCGGGCGTGGTGGCGGGTGCCTGTAGTTCCAGCTACTCGGGAGGCTGAGGCAGGAGAATGGCTTGAACCCGGGAGGCGGAGCTTGCAGTGAGCTGATATCAGGCCACTGCACTCCAGCCTGGGCGACAGAGTGAGACTCTGTCTAAAAAAAAAAAAAAAAAAAAAAAAAAGTAATGGCAGAAACCACCATCACTTTTGCTCCAACCTAATAACAATCATAAAAGCAGACATAAAAATTTAAGTAGCCATTTATAGTTTTTAACAGAAATATTTATATAGAAACTTTACAAACTTTTCACATTTACTTAAGCCTTCACGATTTCCATATGAGATGATTATTCTTAGTCCTACTTTACACCTAAGAAAACTGAAATTGAAAAGTTAAATACATTTCCCAGAATCACATAATTTTTAAAAGTCAAAGTAAAAACGTAGGTGCAGGTGTTCTGATTCTTAGTCCCATGTTCTCTCACTTAAATAAATACATATGTTTTAAAAATTCCTGGCACACAGTAGGTTTTCATAAATTTTGATCTTACAAGTTCTTGTAGTCTGCTTGTGTTAGCCGCCTTCTTTACACAGGAGGGGATCTGCTAATGTAGCTTATATCCAGCTCCCATTGCTATAATAACGCTAATTATTTAACATCTTGTTCTAAAGGCCAAGATGCCAACTGAGATCATACCCGGGGCTCCTGCTATAATGAGCATTGCTTCTGGTGGGAGAAGAGATACATTTTGATCCCTTTCTACAGCCTTACAAAGTTCTTTTGTCATTTGTAATTTTTGTTTATTGGGAAACAAGATAAATTCACCCCAGCATGCTCATGTTGCTTAAACCTCTACATTTTTTTAAAGCTATTTTCAGGAAATGTAATGCTAAAAACAGCATCTAGAACAGCAGGGTCAATTCTTGTAGGTACATTAAGAGAGTTAGTGGAAAATAGAGAACATCTGATGCCTTTAAAGGGAGCTTTTCCAATTATATTTACTGTTGGGGACTAACAGCTTTTGAAAAAAAATCAATGTTCACCTACTGTTGTTCCCATACCGTATTTAAACAGTCCCCTTATTCATTTACTAGACATGGTCCACATAAATGCACCATTTTATTGGCAATGTAGAACACTTAGATTAGTCTTCTATTAAGGAATAAAAGATGGGGCAAAATGCTCTTCATCCCCTGTCTCTCTGGTTCTAGATGATCTCTGTGAGTGCTTCATGAGCTTGCTGTGCAGCATCCCCAGAAATAAATATCCTCCTGAACTCTGGCAACACCACTTTTTCCCTTTTGTTCTCCAGCCCTAGGGGAGATATCTGTTTTCTGTAGGTATTGATCTCTGGGTAACATTTCCTCTCTCATTTTATTTATTTTAATTTTTATTTATTTGAGATGGAGTCTCACTCTGTCATCCAGGCTGGAGTGCAGTGGTGTGATCTCGGCTCACTGCAACCTCCGCCTCCAGGGTTCAAGGGATTCTCCTGCCTCAGCCTCCTGAGTAGCTGGGATTACAGGCGTACTCCACCATGCCTGGCTAATTTTTGTATTTTTAATAGAGACGGGGTTTCACCATGTTGGCCAGGCTGATCTCAAACTTCCGACCTCCAGTGATCCTTCCACCTTAGCCTCCCAAAGTGCTGGGATTACAGGCGTGAGCCACTGCACTCGGCCCCCTCTCTCATTTATTCAGGATTCCTCCTCATTTTTGCTCTTCTAATTTCCCAGCACTAGGGTTACCAATTCTTTCTGTTTAAAATCTTAAAAGGATATTTTTTCTTGATTGAAACTGACAGAGGAAATAAATCAAGATGTTGATTTTTAAATGTGTGCGATGCTTTGAAGGAGATAAACAGAGTAAACTGGGGCTCTTTAGATATTATCATCTAAGCCCTCTTTAAAAGTAAAGATATTTGATGTTCTAAAGTATGAGAAGGAGATTATAGTAAGGAGATCTGGAGGCAGTGTGTTTCCTCCAGAGGGAACTTTTTTTCTGGGTGATAATTAGTGGTAGCTTGGATTAGAGAGAGAGCGGTGGAGATGAAGAGGATGGATTCTAAAGTGTATTTTGCAAGTAGAACCAAAAAGAATTGCTTATGAAAAAAAAAGTTGGCATGGGAGAGGAACAACACAAGATGGTATGACAGCCTGAATAATGGCCCCCAAACATATCCAGGTCCTAACACTTGGAACCTGTGAATGTTATCTTCTATGGCAAAAAGAGACTTGGCAGATGTGATTAAATTATGGATCTTGAGATGGGGCAGATTAATCTGGATTATCCAAGTGAGGCCTAAATGCAATCACAAGTGTTGTTATCCGAGGGAAGCAGAAGGAGATTTGACACAGAAGAGAAGAAGGCCATGTGCCATAAGCAGAGGGAAGCAGAGTCAGAGAGAGATGTTATGCCACTGACTTTGAGGATAGAGGACATGGCCGCAGGCCAGAGAACACTTGTATCTATTACAGAGTGGAAGAGGCAAGAAAATAGACTCTCCCCTGCAGCCTGAGAGGGAGCACTGTCCTGCTGACACCTTGACTGTGTCCTGGTGAAATCCATTTTGGAGTTCTGGCTTCTAGAACCATAAGGCAATACGTTTGTGTTATTTAAAAACACTAAGTTTATGAGGATTTATACAGCAGCCAAACAAAACTACGACAGATGACTTCCAGGGTTTTATTTTGAATAATAGGGTGAATGTGGTACCATTTACTAAAATAAGAAACATTGAGGAATGAAGAGACAGCTTTGAAGGGTGAGAAGTGTCATAGAAATAACATAGGCCGGGTGTGGTGGCTCACGCCTGTAATTGCAGCACTTTGAGAGGCCGAGGAGGGCGGATCACGAGGTCAGGAGATCGAGACTATCTGGCTAACATGGTGAAACCCCGTCTCTACTAAAAATACAAAAAAATTAGCCGGGCATGGTGGCTTGTGCCTGTAGTCCCAGCTTACTGGGGAGGCTGAGGCAGGAGAATGGCGTGAACGCGGGAGGCGGAGCTTGCAGTGAGGGGAGATCACGCCACTGCACTCCAGCAGTACTCTGAGACAGGGCAGACTCTGCCTCAAAAAAAAAAAAAAAAAGAAAGAAAGAAACAATATGAAAAGATAATGGTTAAACTTGCTAGTCATAAGGTCCATGACAAACCCAAACTAAAGTGATTAGTTGGCTACTGAATATACCTTACTGGGAGTCTGCTGAGTTGCTTGGATCTATTGATGTTTTTCGTCACATTTGAGAAATGTTCAACCACCATCCCTTCAAATATTTATTCTGCTTCATTATATCTCTCCTCTTCTGGAACTCCTATACTGTACCTGAATGTACCACAAGCCACTGAACCTCTGTTCTTTTTTTTTTTTTCCATATTTTAAAATCTTTGTATAAGTTTGGAAACTTCTATTCACCTGTCTTCCATTTCACTGACACTTTTATTCTGAAAGCACTTCCAATTTTGATTTCCGGTATTGTATTTTTCAGTTCCAGGATATCCATTTGATTCATTTTTTTAGTTTCTATATGTTTTATAAAATTTCCTATGTCTTTATTCATTATATTCACCTTTTATCTATTAACTTCTTAATATAGCTATACCACTCTTTTTAACTTCTTGTTTGCTAGTTCCAATATCTTGTATATCTATGTGTCTGGTTTACTGACTGATTTTTCTTTTGAATATGGGTCACAACTTTCTACTTCTTCATATGTCCAGCAATTTTGATTGTACATTGGACAATATTTTGTAGAGACTCTGGATTTGGTAAACTTCCTCTGAAAAACTGTTAATTTTGTGATAGTAGGTAGTTAAATTGGTTGTGGACCAAACTGATCCTGTGGAAAGTTTGTTTTTGGTTTTATTAGAGTGGCTCTAATTTAATTTTTTCTGTCAGTCTTAAGGTATAGACTTTAGTCTTAGGAATGATCTTTACTACTATCAGATGTGGCCTTTCTGGGGTATGAGTGATAAGCCTGAGATTTAAATATTCTAATCAAGCACAACTTGAACTCTAAATTGTGTCTCCCCCACACCAGGCAGCTACTGGAATTCTTGCTTAGCATTTTAGCCTTCCAACTTGCTGAATTCACTGGAGTCTCACTTTATATATGTGCAGCCAAATTTTGGGCAAGTTCATCTTCAGATTTGCAGGCTGTCCCCTCTGTGGTTTCATCATTCCATGCACTTACCTCTTTTCACCAAGTTCTAGCCCCCCTGAACTCTGCCCTCAGGCTTCTGCTTTCTCCTTGAACTTGTCTTCTGTGCACTGAACAAACAGAGTGCTATCGCAGGAAAAGCCAGTTACACATGCACTTCATCCAGTGTGCTTCCATTCTTTAAAGTATCATGTCAGCTCCAGTTTCTGCCTACTTTTAGTTGATACAGATGTAGACATAGATATATATCGTTTCTCAGAGTTTATGATTGTTATTGGCAGGTGTATTAGTCCGTTTTCATATTGCTGATAAAGACATACCCGAGACTGGGCAATTTACCAAAAAAAAAAAAAAAAAATAGGTTTAATTGGACTTACAATTCCACATGGCTGGGGAAGCCTCATAATCATGGCAGAAGGTAAGGCAGAGCAAGTTATGTCTTACGTGGATGGCAGCAGGAAAAGAGAGAGACAGAGTGTGTGCAGGGAAACTGCTCTTTTTAAAACCATCAGATCTCTTGAGACTTATCACTATCAGGAGAACAGCGTGAGAAAGACTGGCCGCCATGATTCAGTTACCTCCCACAGGGTCCCTCCCAAAACACATGGGATTTCAAGAGGTGATTTGGGAAGGGACACAGCCGAACCATATCATTCTGCCCCTGGCCCCTCCCAAATCTCACATCCTCATATTTCAAAACCATTCATGCCTTCCCAACAGTCCTCCAAAGTCTTAAATCATTTTCACATTAATTCCAAAGTCCACAGTCTAAAGTCTCATCTGAGACAAGGCAGGTCCCTTCCACATATGAGCCTGTAAACTCAAAAACAGGTTAGTTACTTCATAGATACAGTGGGGGTACAGGCAATGGGTAAATACAGCCATTCCAAATGGGAGAAATTGGCCAAAACAAAGGGCCTACAGGCCCCATGCAAGTCCGAAATTCAGCAGGGCATTCAAATTTTAAAGCACAAAAATGATCTTCTTTAACTCCATATCTCATATCCAGGTCATGCTGATGCAAAAGGTGGGTTCTCATGGTCTTGGGAAGCTCCACGCCTGTGACTTTGCAGGGTATAGCCTCCCTCCCAGCTGCTTTCACGAGCTGGCATTGAGTATCTGCAGCTTTTCCAGGCGCATGGTGCAGGCTGTCAGTGGATCTACCATTCTGGGGTCTGGAAGACAGTGGCCCTCTTCTCACAGTGCCACTAGCAGTGTTTCAGCAGGGACTCTGTGTGGGGGCTCCAACCCACGTTTTCCTACTGCACTGTCATAGCAGAGGTTCTCCATGAGGACCCCACCCCTACAGTAAACTTCTGCCTGGGCATCCAGGCATTTCCATACATCTTCTGAAATCTAGGAGGAGGTTCCCAAATGTCAATTCTTGACTTCTGTGCACTCGCAGGCTCAACATCACGTGGAAGCTGCCAAGGCTTGAGGCTTGCACCTTCAGAATCCATGGTTCGAGCTCTATATTGGCCCCTTTCAGCCATGGCTAGAATGGCTGGGATGCAAGGCACCAAGCTAGGATGCAAGGTGACCCTGGGTCCAGCCCACAGAACCACTTTTTCCTCCTAGAGCTCTGGGATTTTGATGGGAGAGGCTGCCATGAAGACCTCTGACATGCCTGGGAGACATTTTCCCCATTGTCCTGGGGATTAACATTTGGCTCCTCATTACTTATGCAAATTTCTGCAGCTGGCTTGGATTCCTCTGCAGAAAGTGATGTTTTCTTTTCTGTCACATTGTCAGGCTGCAAATTTTCCAAACTTTTATGCACTGCCTCCCTTTTAAAACTGAATGCCTTTAGCAGCACCCAAGTCACTCTTGAATGCTTTGCTACTTAGAAATTTCTTCTGCCAGATACCTTAAATCGTCTCTCTCAAGTTCAAAGTTCCACAGATCTCTAGGGCAGGGGCAAAATGCCACCAGTCTCTTTGCTAAAACATAACAAGGTCACCTTTGCTTTGCTCCCGTTCCCAACAAGTTCCTCATTTCCATCTGAGACCGCCTCAGCCTCAACTTTATTGTCCATATCACTATCAGCATTTTGGTCAAAGCCATTCAGCAAGTCTCTAGGGAGTTCCAAACTTTCCCACATTGTCCTGTCTTCTTCTGAGCCCTCCAAACTGTTCTAGATCCAGTGGCTTTCACATTTTTGGGTATCTTTTCAGCAGCGACCCACTCTACTGATACCAGTTTACTGTATTAATCAGTTTTCACCCTGCTGATAAAGACATAACCTGCTGATAAAGGCAATTCACAAAAGAAAGAGATTTAATTGGACTTACAGTTCCACATGGCTGGGGAAGCCTCACAATCATGGTGGAAGGCAAGGAGGAACAAGTCATGGCTTACACGGATGGCAGCAGGAAAAGAAAGCTTGTGCAGGGGAACTCCTCTTTTTAAAACCATCAAATCTTGTGAGACTTATTCATTATCAGGAGAACAGCATGGGAAAGACTTGCCTCAAGATTCAATTACCTCCCACAACATGTGGGATTTCAAGATGAGATTTGGGTGGGGACACAGCCAAACCATATCAGCAGGAGACAGTCCAATATAAACTATTTTACCATACTGTCCCCTGGATTCCAGCAGTTGAATGAATGAATCTTTATCTTAGGTAAGACCTCTGGAGCAGAAATATCAAAACTGGTGTTTATTCATAGGAGGAAACAATCTAGTAAAGTGCTTTTCATTATCGGTTTCACATGAAAAATCTCCCAATGAAAACTTTAATAATCTATGTGACCAGTACTACCCCAAATCAATAATCTTTGGGGTTAGACCAGGCATCAGTATTTGTTAAAACTTCCCAGGTAATTTAAATATACAGCTAAAGTTGCGAAACACTGACTTTGAAAGAGGGTGAAGGGTAAGAGCAGTATATCCACATTTGAATCCTGAAAACTTTATTTCTGTAATAGCTCTTACCCAAATCTTGAGCCTTCTATTCTTGCATGGTCATAGGACAGAAACTTAAATTGCTTACTGTAGCTTCTGTCTATTCCAGCTTGAAATAGTCTGTTTCTAGTTAAATCAAGCCTATTTCAGACACTTCGTCTTGACCACAAGTTGAATCAATTTCTACTTTTTCCCTCTGTCTTTTTCTGTATTTATGTGGTAGTGGATGCAGAGACATAAGTTCTTGGGTAGCATACATACCATTTGGGGTGTTAGGTTGATGGGTAATGGCTGTCTTGTGAACCTTCATTAGCTTCCTTATATGTGTCCGTTACCCATCAAGTCTCTGGGCAACATGTTATGCCTTGAAGTTGCTTGTTCTTGCAGCTGCTGTTGAAGTCTGGTGTCACAGCTAGAGCCTCTGACCTTGAGGTCCCCAATTCTTTTTTCCCCTCAACCAGGACCCAAGCCTCCATTAATTTACCATTTCCTCATTTTTAATTCCCCCTGGTGCATCTGAAACCAAGCTAGTTTTTAAACAAGGATTTATTAGAAGTGCAACTTTAGTAATAATAAATGAGAATATCACAAGTAACACATAAATAGTTAGAATGTAGAAGAAAAAGACATTAAAGCGTATTTATATTAGAAGTCCAAATTAAAGAGAACAAAACTTAAAGAGGTATCTAATAGCAGTTATGCCTCTTACCTAAATTCTGCCTTAATTGTTAATCACTTCCTGTTTTCTTCCAGGTCCCTTATCTTAGGAGCTGCCTGTTCTAAAGATAACTGACTGTCATAATATCTTAGCCTTTTAGGAAGATTTCCCCTTCATACAGTGTATCATCAGAATATCATAATTCAACTACCCATTTTATTTATAAAAGAAAAAATACAGTATCAAGTGACTCATTTTCTTCAGTTTTAAATAGCAAGCTATAAAATATATAAAATAAACAAACTTTTTTAAATGATTAAAAATTAAAGTGATAGACATACAAATTTTAAATAATATAAACACATTTGAAAGCAAAATGCACATCTTTGTTTGAAATACAATTGAAATGAGAGACACAGAAAATTTGAATAATATAATTAGTAAATTTGAAAACATGAAGCACATTTTTTCAAGAATTAAGAGATGGTTTGTACAAGTTACATACACATCTTTCTTCAAACTTGATGCGCACTTCCCTCAAACACATGAAGAATTTCAGACTCAGACTAATTAATTTGTCTCAGCATTCACTCCTACTAAATATCTCCTTCCTGTTTGTGGTACTTTTCTCAGAGATGAGTCTTTATTAGGCTGAGAGGTAGGAGCTCCCAGGGCAAACTATGGAGCTGGGGCAAACAGAATCTAAACTGTAGTCAACTGGACAACCCAAAGTCTCTATCCAAGGAACATTATTGCAAGTCTAGGGAATAAGTGAATGGCCATAAGCATAGCATAAAAAAGCAAGGGGCCGGGTGCCATGGCTCACACCTGTAATCCCAGCACTTTGGGAGGCTGAGGCAGGCGGATCACCTGAGGTCAGGAATTTGAGAGCAGCCTGGCCAACATGCTGAAAACCCATCTCTACTTAAAAAATACAAAAATTAGTCTGGTGTGGTGATGGGCGCCTGTAATCCCAGCTACTCAGGAGGCTGAGACTGAAGAATTGCTTGAACCCAGGAGGCAGAGGCTGCAGTGAGCGGAGATCATGCCACTCCAGCCTGGGCAACAGAGAGAGACTCTGTCTCAAAAAATAAATAAATAAATAAATAAATAAATAAATAAATAATAAAAAGAAGCAAGGAATGCAGAGAAGCAAATTCAAATAATTGTAATGAATTGAAATTATCTAAAATCTTACTATTAACACTAAAACTGTGGTTCCTCAATTAATATTGCCTAGGTGCATGTTAGAAATGCATTATCTCAGCCGGGCACAGTGGCTCATGCCTGTAATCCCAGCACTTTGGGAGGCTGAGGTAGGTGGATCATGAGGTCAGGAGATCAAGATCATCCTGGCCAACATGGTGAAACCCTGTCTCCACTAAAAATACAAAAATTAGCTGGGCATGGTGGCACATGCCTGTAATCCCAGCTACTCGGGAGGCTGAGGCAGGAGAATCACTTGAACCCGGGAGGCAGAGATTACAGTGAGCGGAGATCACGCCACTGCACTCCACCCTGGTGACAGAGCGAGACTCTGTCTCAAAAAAAGAAATGCATTATCTCAGACCCCACCACACACCTATGAATTTTAAGATTTCCAGATAGTTTGCAGGCACATTAAAGTTCAGCAACTGATCTAGGATGTAGCTGAAAAACAAAGCAAAGGTCTCTAGAGTTCTAGGGTAATATTTTGATCCTTCATTATTACAGAGGTAACTTGGATAGTAGAGGACATCAAAGAGTGGGGAATAAAACAGGGGAGGGAAATCCCACTTATTTTGCATATAAAAAAGACTCATGCAATTATTTGGCTTCACTATGGCATTTAGTGGTGGAAAGTAAGAGGTAGTGAATGCTAAGTGTTTACTTAATGATGTAAGTTAAGATAGGAATGAATCTATATTAACACTAATTCTGTTTAAGGAATGTTTGACCTGAAATGCCTCTCCTGTGATGAGGGTAAATGCTTCTCTTTTGGTTAGGCTGGAAGGAAATGAAAAACATTTCTAACTGAGTTTCAAAAGTCCAGGAATAGCAGTGATAACTCAAAATAAACATTAAATGCTAATTCAAATATTTGATGGTAACAGGGATTGAAATGGAAAGCACACTTAGTTAATTAGCCAAGGTCTTAAATTCTGAGTTTTATCACACCTCATAAATGAGACTTGAGTGAATTGTGAGTCTGATATGACAGCTTCTAAAATCTTCCCCTCAAAACAATAGTCAATGTTAAACATCAAAGTTAAATTGAGGGTTGGAGTTGTTTCTCTCCACATGGCTTTGTGTAACCTAACAATTTTCTTCCACTGAAAAGGCTTTGGTAGAAATGTATTTGCGTATAATTATGGTTTCTTGATTTCCACTTGTTCTTTTGTCAGACATTTATTAACACCTTTTATGTACTGGATAATGAGCTGGGTTCTGGGAATACAGAACTAAATAAAGCCAGTCCCTGACCTTCGGGGGCTGAGGAGGTGGAGAAGCATCCACATCAATAGGGAAGAAATTCTTCATAGTGCTTTAAATGAGGGATAAGGAAAAAGAGGAGGGACTGGTGGAATATAAGACTAGAATGTCAGACAGAGGAAAGAAAATATATTGAAAAAACGTTCAATATGTATAACTTTTATCAGTGTACAAAATGGTTAATACTGAATATCTCAGTGAATCATTTCGGGAACCATGTAAAGTAGACCTTAATCCTCTTTTACAAATGAAGAATCTGAACCTGAAGGAAGATTAGAGACTTATTCAAGAACTTACAGGCAAATGGTGGTACCTGAATGAGAAACCAGGTTTTCTAACCGTAGAATCCCACATAATTAGCTCATCAATCCAGGACTACTATAAGTAACAGCGTGTCCAAGAATAACATTTTAGAATATTTTGGGATCCTCATCCATGTAACTGTGAATGTGGTCCTGGTAAAGGATATATCACCCGATTAATTGATTGACTGATTGACTGATTGATTTTGTGTGTTTTGCTGATGAGATAGATTCCCCTCCTCCCCTTGCTGCTCTTTCTCTATCCCTCTGAAATCTGGCTACTTGTAAGAAGTGAAGAAATAAGTAAATAAATAAATAAATACCTTCCAAACTTTAGCTAAAGATTGCTGAGTGTTTGAGCTCCACTGTGTGAATTTGCAAATATACATATCACTTTATTCACTGACTATGTATAATTCAACTACTATGTACAAAGTATTATGCTGAGACTCTGTGGAACTTAAAGTTTTTTGTAATCTGTCTCAAAGCAACTAAATCAGAATCCCTGGTAGTTAGACGCAAGCATCAGTGGTTGGTAAGCCTTCCCAAGTGATTTCAATGTGCACCTAGAGGCCATGACTAAGTATAATGTAGTGTGAAATAGCTACAGCAGAAGTAACAGCAGCTAATTATTACTGAACACTCATCATAGGCCAGGCAACATGCTAAGCTCTTTCACTGGATAATCTTTTAAACAATCTTAACCACAACCCAATGAAGACAGTGTTATAGTTACCCATTCTCTCCATTTTATACATAAGAGAAGCGAGGCTTTATTAGAGGCTAATTAGTGTGTCCCAGGTCAATGGTGAACCTAAAATTTGTGACTAGATTCTAGACACTAGCCACAAGATTATACTGCCTTCCTACAATAAAGCTAAACAGAAGTAAGATGTTTTTGAGAACTATTTTCACAAAGTTAAATTTGGAAAACAATTTGGGTAAAGCTAGTTGAATATTTAAGTAAAAAGTTATCCAGTGAAGAAAAAAGAGGAAGAAAATAAGGAAAGAGAAAAAATAGGCTCCAAATGAATTAAGATCTCCTCCATTATTTCCTTTGAAATTGGGAAAAGTATTTTGATGCAGACCTATGGATTAGAAAATATACCTATAGAGTTTGAGGATGAGTGGTCAAAACAAAAAGAAATAAAAATTAAAACTATCCCTAAACAGCCCTCAGGAACAGCGTGTCCTACAGCTATGGGGAAGGAGGCGCCTGTAGCAGATATTGAGGCAAACATCTAAGAAAGGATCTGTGCCCTCAGAAGAGGGAATAATGAATAGAGAATGGAGTGTGTGTCTTCAGTGGGATTCTAGAACATCAGACAAAGATGACACCTGAGGTCTGCAGCCATGCACACTTCCAGTTTCATATGCTGAGGAATTCTTAGCACAGAAACAGTCTGCCTGCTTGATGTTTGTCTTATGTGAGGCATTATAGCACATTGGCTACCATATATACATGGCATATAGCCTGGGCTAGGCTCAATCCTGGTCCTAAAATAGAGTGATAATAATAATTGTATGGGGTTATTGTGATAATTACAAGGTATTCTATATATAAGAATATAGTAATATATTCTTAAATATTGGACTATTGGGCCTATAGTATCCTCTCGATAAAGTTTAGTTTAAATTGTTTTTATTATTAAATATTTTTATTATTAAATAAAAATGCAACTGTATTAGTCCATTCTTGCACAGATAAAAAGAACTACTTGAGACTGGGTAATTTATAAGGAAAAGAGGTTGAATTGTTCTCATGGTTCTGTGGGCTATACAGGCTTCTGCTTTTGGGGAGGCCTCAGGACACTTACAATCGGGGCAGAAGACAAAGGGGAAGCAGACACATCTTCACAGGGCTGGCAGGAGAGAGAGAGAGCCTGACGAGGGAGGGGCTACAGACTTTCAAACAATGAAGTCTCGTGAGAACTCTGTCACGAGACGGCGCTAGGGGGATGGTGCTAAACTATTAGAAACCACCCCCATGATCCAATCGCTTTCCACTAGGCTCCGCCTTCAGCACTAGGGATTACAATTCAACATGAAATTTGAGTGGGGACACAAATCCAAAGCATATCAACAACATAAGTAGTAATAATAATTCACTATATTTTAGTTAAATCCAGAGTTTCTGAGAAAGAGGGAAGATGTACCACATGACAATATTCTTTGAAAAAAGCCATAAACTTTGGAGAATATGTACAATTGTTGATGCTGTAGACATATCAAGGTAAGTGTGAGGGAGCATAGTTTAATGGTTAAGAACACAGGTGTTGGAGTTCCATTGCCTGCTAATTATTAGCTTTGTGACTTTGAGCAAATTACTTCATGTCTCTAGGCTTCAATTCTGTCATATTCAAATTGGGGGTAAGAATAGCATTAAATATTTTAGAGTTGAACTTGTTAATATTTGTAAAGCTCTTAGAGCAGTGTCCTGTGTATAGTAAGTATGATATTGAGAGGTGAGGCCAGCTGGACTTCCTGGGTCATGTGGGGACTTGGGGAACTTTCCTGTCTTACAAGAGGATTGTAAAACACACCAATCAGTTCTCCGTAAAATGCACCAATCAGCAGGATTCTAAAAGTAGCCAATCATGGGGAGGATTGAAAAAAAATGCACTCTGATAGGACAAAAATAGAACATGGGAGGGGACAATAAGGGAATAAAAGCTGGCCACCCCAGCCAGCAGTGGCAACCCGCTCAGGTCCCCTTCCACGCCATGGAAGCTTTGTTCTTTTGCTCTTCATGGTAAATCTTGCTACTGCTCACTCTTTGGCTCCGTGCCACCTTTAGGAGCTGTAACACTCACCATGAAGGTCCACAGCTTCACTCTTGAAATGAGCGAGACCACGAACCCACCGGCAGGAACCAACTCCAGACACAATATTAGAGTGTATTGAATACAATTAACTGTCACATAGAGATACAAGCTTACTAGTATGCTTCAAGGGAAGACCTGGTTAATTCTGAATGAGTACTTTGGGGAAATTTTCTTGGTAGAAGTGGCATTTTAGGTGGCTTGCATACTATCACTATAAGGCTTTTGACTCATACCCCAATGTTTAGTGAGTCAGGAAGGATATTTTTGGATGATGCTTCCTACTGCCTATACCAGATGTAAGGCTAAATGGCCTTCAACATTAATGGAAAGGTAAGGAATTTTGGCTCATGATAAAGAAAGACAAGTCCAGGGTTAAATACGTGATAGAGATAATCATAATCTAACTAGAAATTAGTTACCATAATGACAGGAGAGGACAGTGTCTACCTTTTCCTATCAAAGCCCATGTCCTCAACCTAGACCGTCTCAGGGTAAGGAAACCTGGCATTCTTATTCCTTCAGCTTTGTGGAAGGGAAGGAGATTCTACAAAGCTACAAATCTCATGGCCCTAGTGAGAGGTGACAGTGTGCTGGTAGCCCTTGCTCACTCTTGGCGCCTCCTCGGCCTTGGTGCCCACTCTGGCCATGCTTGAGGAGCCCTTCAGCCCGCCACTACACTGTGGGAGCCCCTCTCTGTGCTGGCCGAGGCTGGAGCCGTCTCCCTCTGCTTGTGAGGAGGTGTGGAGGGAGAGGCGTGGGCGGGAACCGGGGCTGTGTGCGGTGCTCGTGGGCCAACGTGAGTTCTGGGTGGGCGTAAGCTCAGCGGGCCCCGCACTCAGAGCAGCCAGCTGGCACCACCAGCCCCGGGCAGTGAGGGGCTTAGCATCTGGGCCAGCAGCTGCGGAGGGTGCACCAGGTCCCCCAGCAGTGCAGGCCCACTGGAGCTGCGCTCAAATTCTTGCCGGGCCTCAGCTGCCTCCCCGTGGGGCAGGGCTCAGGACCTGCAGCCCGCCATGCCCGAGCCTCCTTGCTGCCATGGGCTCCTGTGCGGCCTGAGCCTCCCCAATGAGCGCCGCCCCCTGCTCCGCGGCACACGGTCCCATTGACCGCCCAAGGGCTGAGGAGTGCGGGTGCAAGGCGCGGTACTGGTGGGCAGCTCCACCTGCGGCCCAGTGTGGGATCCACTAGGTGAAGCCAACTGGGCTCCTGAGTCTAGTGGGGACTTGGAGAACTTTTATGTCTAGCTGGAGGATTGTATACACACCAATCAGCACCCTGTGTCTTGCTCAACGTTTGTAAATGCACCAATCAGCACTCTCTATCTAGCTAATCTGGTGGGGACTTGCAGAACCTTTATGTCTAGCTAAAGGATTGTAAATAAACCAATCAGCATTCTGTGTCTAGCTCAAGGTTTGCAAACACGCCAGTCAGCACCCTGTGTCTAGCTCAAGGTTTGTAAATGCACCAATCAGTGCTCTGTGTCTAGTTAATCTAGTGGGGACTTGGAGAACTTTTGTGTCTAGCTCAGGGATTGTAAACGCACCCATCAGCACCCTGTCAAAACAGACCAATCAGCTCTCTGTAAAACAAACCAATCAGCTCTCTGTAAAACAGACCAATCAGCTCTCTGTAAAATGAACCAATCAACAGGATGTGGGTGGGGCCACATAAGGGAATAAAAGCAGGCTGCCCCCAGCCAGCAGTGGCAACCTGCTTGAGTCCCCTTCCACACTGTGGAAACTTTGCTCTTTCGCTCTTTGCAATAAATCTCTTTGGGTCCGCACTGCTTTTATGAACTGTAACACTCACCGCAAAGGTCTGCAGCTTCACTCCTGAGGCCAGCGAGACCACGAACCCACTGGGAGAAATAAACAACTCCGGAGGGGAGGAACGAACAACTCCAGACGCACCGCCTTAAGAGCTGTAACACTCACTGCGAAGGTCTATAGCTTCACTCCTAAAGCCAGTGAGACCATGAACCCACCAGAAGAAAGAAACTCCAAACACGTCCGAACATCAGAGGGAACAAACTCTGGACACACCATCTTTAAGAACTGTAACACTCAACACAAGGGTCCGCGGCTTCATTCTTAAAGTTAGTGAGACCAACAGCCTGCCAATTCCGGACACACTAGCACTGTGGCTCAATGTATATCCTTGATCCTAACTCATTCTTATAGAACCAGTGACAATGGGACACAAAAAAGAGCCTGGGCAGCCTTCAGAAGTCAACTTTCCCCTACCTTTGATTCTTTCCTTTAATAATCTCAACAAGACTAGTAGTCAGCGGGAGACATTGTTGAACCATTTAGGACAGGAAAATGATCAATGGATTAACAGAAAATGCCTCCTTCTACCTTTATGTGGTCCCATGACTAAATGTTTTAACAAAATGTAGAAAAAAACGAGTTCTTGTCACACAACGGGGAAAAGTTAGGCACGTAGACACTTTGAAGGATGAAGGGGAACGGCATTTTTTGGGTGAAAAGGAAAAAAACCTCTCAGCAAAGCGAGAGGGGTTCCTGTTAACAGGCCGCCATCTCACAGATTGAATCCCAGGTCAACACACAGGGACAGGAGAGGCCAGGCTCCTCCCCTCCGCAAACGGCGGGAACTTCCTGTGGCTCCACCCTGTTCTCCCAGTTCCCAGGCCAGTGCGAGATTCTCCAGGGACCCTCCCCCTTATCTTCCTCCCGCGTCTATCAAAATTACATGTAATCATGTGATTTGAAAGTCTGGTCACTTAATTTTTGCTAAGCAATAGGAATGCAGTGATGAGGGCAAAACAAATCTGGGTTCAGCTCTCAGGGAGCAACTGAATTAAATTAGGCTTCAAATTATACAGAGGTCAGATCAGTCAGAGGGGACTTAAAAAAAACAAGAATTCTGAAGGAGACCAAAATTGTCTCAGTCTAACAAAAGATTGAAACACAGAGTAAATAATAGGGAATGAGTTTAAACAAAGTTAGCAAGATTATATACAAGGTGAGAAAGAAAATTCAAGGTTTAAAGCAAATATATAATTTAAGCAAAGAGATATAACATCCTATCACAGAAATGCTTAACGAAATCAAATGTTTGAAGTCTTATATTTAGAAGACGTGTAATCAGACAAACTGACCAGAAAGTCCTATTTTGTTGCCCTAATTATTGACAAATATAAAAAAGGTCTCTTAATCAACATTGACAAGAAACCAAGTATGCACATTTCATCTTTCAAAAAACGATTTTCCATCTAGCTAATATCTTCATTTATATTACTCCTGTGGTTACAAGACGTATATATATATATTCTTCCTCTTTCAATTTTTTTGTCTTGTTCATGAGGAAATTTTCCACAGAGCATTTGCATTCAAGTTTGTATGTCTATAAATATGATTTAACCTACATTTTTATAACTAAAGTATGTCTATGTAATTAAAATTTCCTAATTTTGACTTTTACAGAGCTTATAGTCTTGCAGGGACCAATTAGAATGGCAGATCATCCCCTTAGGCCTTCATCAAAATCCCTTTTGATACTGTTCTCTAAAGCCTATAAAATGGGTCAGTACAGGAATTAATTGAGTGACCCCAAGGGCATACTATACATCAGGATAATTATCCATGCTTCTGTTTCCCCTTCTCCTACCTACTCACTAGACAAGTTTATAGGAGATGTGGCAGCTCAAGGTAGAGCCCAGATAATATAAGACCAGCATTTCAAATGCCCCAAATTTGCCACCAAACCTATACATTTTAACAATATTAACCCTTCATGTTATCGTATAAACCTGTTTCTACCGCTGGGAAATTTAACAACTGAAATGAGATAAATTAAGGATCCAAATTATGTCTAAAAGCATCTTCTCTCCTGCATTTCCTCCTTATTTTACTGAGTGTCAGTCAACGGACAACTCACATAGACGTCTTGGTAGAGAAACAGGGTCAGCAGTTGCACATACTCCCTTCCGTAGAAGTAGTGGAGTATTTTGGGCACCTCCACTGGGACTACTTCCAACTAGAAAACTCTCCCACATTCTATTAAAGTCCTAGAGAGACCGCAAAGACATACGAGAACATCACAACACCAGCCCCACACTTCATTCACAAAGTGCCCTGGACCCACAGGACCTTGGCAGCCCCTAAAATCTAAACATATTCCCATAAACAAAAGCGTGTTCCACCAAAGACCTTGTCCTAACTGAGGGACAAACTAAGAAGGAAAAATAACCGTTTAAGATAGCAATTTTTTTTTTGGTTTATGTTAGCTTTTCCAGGATTCCTGTCAATTTCCCAAGTCCGGTGTCTATGAATTGAAACCTCATATGAGAGAAATCTCTCACTGAGAGATTAGCTGTTGTACTTACTCTGCTTCTTATATTCTGAGGGAACAATAAAACAAAAGAGAGGGCAATAGCTTTGTGAAATCTGCCCTGCATATGCATACATAAATTAAGAGAAATTTATTAAAATATCCTTATCTTAAACAAATGTATAAGGGGCCGGGTGTGGTGGCTCATGCCTGTAATTCCAGCACTTTGGGAGGCCGAGGCAGGCGGATCATCTGAGGTCTGGAGTTTGAGACCAGCCTGGCTAACATGGTGAAACCCTATCTCTATTAAGAATACAAAAAATTAGCCAGGCATGGTGGCAGGCGCCTGTAATCCCAGCTACTCTGGACGCTGAGGCAGGAAAATTGCTTGAACCCAGGAGGCAAAGGTTGCAGTGAGCCAAGATCTCACCACTGCACTCCAGCCTGGGCAACAGAGCAAGACTTCATCTCAAAAAAAAAATGTGTAAGGTAGTATTCAACAATTTATCTTTATTGATGCTATTTTTCCCTTTTATGTCATTTATTGTCCATTGGTCTTAATTCACAGTTCCCCTTTAGACCAGAGTTCTTGGCATCCCAGTTTTTTATTGATTGTGGTCCGTCACTAGGGCTAGAATTTCCACTCCTTCATGAACTCAGAATTTTACTTACTACAAAGATTAGTATTACTTATGGCCTTGCATTTCCTCTTCTCCCAAATTCTTGCTCCCCTCCTTGAAGTGTTCTATTCTCAGAAGAACCACCATACCATGTTCCTTAGCCATTTGCTGACATTTAAATTACTGTGTAACAATAGCTGCAGCTTCAGCCCCCCAACTCCTGAATTCCTTAGACTCTGGATTCTCCCTCCCAGGGAAGCTTTTCTTTCTGGGTCTACATTTGTCCCTCCTGGAGAATAGACTTAGGAATGGGGTGTGTGTGCTATTCTTTTTGCTTTTTTTTTTTTTTTTTTTGGCAGAGTCTTGCTCTTGTCTCCCAGGCTAGAGTGCAATGGCGCAATTTTGGCTCACTGCAACCTCCGCCTCCTGGGTTCAAGCGATTCTCCTGCCTCAGCCTCCTGAGTAGCTAGGATTACAGGCGCCTGCCACAAGACCCAGCTAATTTTTGTATTTTCAGTAGAGACAGGGTTTCACCATGTTGGCCAGGCTGGTCTCGAACTCCTGACTTCAGGTGATCCACCCATCTTGGCCTCCCAAAGTACTGGGATTACAGGCGTGAGCCACTGCACCCGGCCTCCTTTTGCTTTCTAAACCTGTGCCTTAGGGTCCAGTGTCAGTATCTGCATATGCTTCGCCCTCAAACATTGTTTTCCTTGAATTTCCTGACCTTCGGAAACCTTTTCTACTCTAGTTGCAGCAGAAATATTCCTTGCATCTTTAGCTTATTACATATATCAGTGAAATCTGATTAGACTGCCTCTAGAAATTCATTTCTTTTCTACTTTAGTGTTTTTCAATGCCCTTTTGAAAACGCCAGTTGAGATTTTAACACTACAATGTGCTTCTTGGTAGACTTTGTGTAAAACTGATGTATGCTGAGTTTGAATGTCTTCCTTTCTTTTACTATTTCCCACAGCTCATGTTTTAGATAGACCAAAACCTTGTATAAGATTTTCTTACTCCTTAGGTTTCTGATAGTTTTCTTATAAAATGCCAACAACTGTTTTCTGTTGCCAGCCCTTTTTTTTTTTTTTTTTTTTTTTTTTTTTTGGTGACAGTCTCGCTCTGTCACTTAGGCTAGAGTATAGTGGTGGCTCAGTGCCATCTCCGCTTCCGGGGTTCAAAGGATTCTCCTGCCTCAGCCTCCTAAGTAGGTTGGGCTACAGGCGTGCATCACCACACCTGGCTAAATTTTTTTTTGTAATTTCAGTAGAGACGGGGTTTTGCTGTGTTGGCCTCAATCTCCTGACCTCAAGTGATCCACCTGCCTTGGCCTCCCAAAGTGCTGGGATTACAGGCGTGAGCCACCACGCCAGGCCTGTTGCCAGCCTTCTTACTTGCTGATTGTGACTCTCCCTTTGCCTATCAGTAATTCTGATAACTAGAGTCACAGTGTTGGATATAGACCATTTACTTTTCTTAATAGCTATTGAATTTTTAATTAATTCACTTAATTTTTCTTCACCTCGGTACAAGGAGAGGGCACAACTTTTACGTACTAGTGATTCCCATTTCTCTTTATCTTTATTGATAGACTCCAGAAAAGAACTGTGCTGGAACTCATACTCTGGGATCTGGGTCCCCTTAAATCCATGCTATTATCAAAATTTAGTAATAACCTGCTGTCTTAGAACTTGGCTAGAGACAGAGGGGAAAAAAGACAAGAAGATTCTGATATAAAATGCATCCATCTGAAAATCAGAAAACTGTATATACGGGTTCTGGCAATTGTGAAGGGAGTCTTTCATTACATTGGAAATGAATATGAATACTTTTTTTTTTTTGACACAGAGTCTTGCTCTGTCACGCAGGCTGGAGTGCAGTGGCGCTATCTGGGCTCACTGCAACATCCACCTCCTGGGTTCAAGTGATTCTCCTGCCTCAACCTCATGAGTAGCTAGGACTGCAGGTACCCACCATCAAGCCAGGCTAATTTTTGTATTTTTAGTAGAGACAGAGTTTCCCCATGTTGGCCAGGCTGTTCGCGAACTCCTGACCTCAGGTGATACACCCGCCTCGGCCTCCGAAAATGCTGGGATTACAGGCATACCATGCCCAGCTGGAAATGAATATGAATACTTGAGCCACAATAAGTACAAGAGTGGAAGAGAGTATGTGTTTATGTAAACCCATCTTTTCCTTTCTGGGATCACAATGAGAGGACATTTCTTAGACTCTTTTTCAGTCTGATGGTCGACATATGAGCGAAGGCAATGTGTGCTACATCCAGGCATGACTCATAAAAACCTTCAGTGAGATCTTCCATGCTTGCTTGTCTCTTTTCCCTTGTCTGACAGTCAAAGAGGAATCAGCTGAGGACTACAAGGCCCTTGAGAACTGTGGGACTATACAATAAAAGGATCCTGGGTTCCCGAGAGACTTCGTGAAGCAGAACATTTGTCCTTTCCCTCCATCCTATTGGATTTCACATAAGTAAAAAATAAAATCCTATTTTACTAAGCCACTGAGATTTGGAAATTATTTGCATTAGCAAATAGCCTGCTCTGCATAATACAATAAAATAAAGATCAATATAAGAGCTTTTTTTCTGTATCAAAGATAGATTTCTTCAGCATTGGGAGAGATTTTCTGACTCAAAGCCCAAACAGTAGCGTCCTGAAATCAAAGCCACTTCAAGATAAAGCAGGATTCTAGGACTCTTTCTGTTTTACAACTTTTATTTTAGATTCACAGGGTAAATGTTCAGATTTGTTACAAAGTTATACTGTGCAATGCTGAGGTCTGGAGTACAATTGTACCTGTAGTGAGCCCAGGTAGTGAGCATAGTACACGATAGGAAGTTTTTCAACCTTTGTCTCCCTCCCCCGCTCCTCTCTTGTATTCCTCAGTGTCTACTGTTCCCATCTTAATGTCCAAGCGGGCACTCTTTTTATCATCTTTATTTCCTTATCTATTAAAATAACTACCTAGTGATAGCCCATGACTTTTTTTTTCTTGGAATGATTTGCCTTTATCTTTTATCCCAGTTACTGCATATGATTTCTCTTATTTGAACATTATTTTTTGCTATATTAATGTTGCACACATAGGAGTGATCCAAGCAAGACTAGGGCTATAAAACTGAATATCACAAAATGTTGAGAGATCAAGAGGAAAAACATGCAAAGAAAATTTTCCAAGCAAATAGCTCTAATTAGCTAATGGTTAAGTTAAAGCTTACTTTTCTCTTGTCTCTTGATAATGTTCAAAGAAGGCACTGCTAAATTGGTGGATGGGGTTGTAAGGAGGCCAAAAAGGCCCTGAATTGGCAAAGGATTATAAAATATTGCAATAGGAAAAGGAGATTTTTTCCTATAGAGGACCTGGTCAAAAGATCCACCTTGAATTCAGACCAAAGATAACCACAGCTGGGCTCCCATGATTTAGAGTCAGACAAAAACACAATGAAACTTTGTTTTTATTTTTCATACTTTGTGTTTCAAAGTTTTGTCCTTTATTTAATGTATATTCTCACCGTTTCACCAAATTACACCAAATGTAAGGTATGTGTGTTTTAGGATTTCACAGAAGAATAGTAGTCATCCAAGATTTTAGTGGTTGCCTTTTAATAAAATTTGAAGAGAATAATGTATGAATGGACAACAAGACTATGTGAGGAAATACTTTATTTCCTAGGGTTTTTTCCTCAAGCTCCAGTGTGGAGTCTTAACTGTAGTGAGGCATGGTGCAGTGTACAGAGCTCTGAGGATCCCGTGAACTGTGATTAGATAGGCTTATATTTTCTCCTTTCCAGTAGGTTTTATTCTCTTTTCAAAATGTCATCTCAACGGGGATGAAGAGATAGGTTCAGGAGGTACCTACTGTCATGTGGTCCAGGATATTGTGACCTCCACATGCATAAAGTACTGAAATAGAATCTGCTGTGATTAAGCTCAGAGGCTAACTGCTTCTCTCATCAACTCCAAAGCTCCATCCTCAGACACTATGGTACAGTCAAGGGGCTCTTAACACCTTAACAGAACTACTTTTCCCTGGAGATGGAATGCAGGAGAAAGCAATAGTTTTCACGTTAATTTTTTTTTATTATACTTTAAGTTTTAGGGTACATGTGCACAGCGTGCAGGTTAGTTACATATGTATACATGTGCCATGTTGGTGTGCTGCACCCATTAACTCGTCATTTAACATTAGATATATCTCCTAATGCTATCCCTCCTCCCTCCCCCCACCCCACAACAGGCCCCAATGTGTGATGTTCCCCTTCCTGTGTCCATGTGTTCTCATTGTTCAATTCCCACCTATGAGTGAGAACATGTGGTGTTTGTCTTTTTGTCCTTAGGATAGTTTGCTGAGAATGATTTGAATCAATAGACATATTGTAGAGTGGTAGGAATCTTTCATCAAGGGGAATAGCCAAGCTTTTGAAAAGAGAGGCAGCTGTTAGAATGTTAGCAGGTAAATATTTTGTCTTAACTTTCCCAAATAAAAAACAATTGTGGCCTGGCATGGTAGCTCACCCCTGTAATCCTAGCCCTTTGGAGGCCAAGGCGGGTGGATCACATGAGGCCAGGAGTTCAAGACCAGCCTGGCCAAGATGGTGAAACCTTGTCTCTACTAAAAATTCAAAAATTAGCTGGGCACGGTGGTATGTGCCTATAGTCCAAGCTACCTGGAAGGCTGAAGCATGATAATTTCTTGGACCCGGGAGGAGGAGGTTGCAGTGAGCCCAGATCGTACCACTGCACTCCAGTCTGGGCGACAGGGTGAGACTCCATCTCAAAAAAAAAAAAAAAAAAAAAAAGAAAAGAAAAGGAGAGAGAGAGAGAGGAAGAAAGAAAATTGTAAATAATGTTTTCATGTCACTTGATAAAATCAGCATAGAAATTTGAAGAGGAGCATAGATAAAACACAACACAAAGAACCAGAAGATCTGGGTTGCTGATTGACTTTTCTTGTCTTTAAAACAAAAAAATTTGAACTCCTCATTTATGGTCTTTGGTTTCCCAAGTGATCATGCATAGGTCTATAGCCATGCTGTTATGAATTTGATATCAAATAATTAAAGATCCTTTTTCCAATTGATAGATATGCTGGAAATTATTTTCTCACATTCTGAATAACATTCCAGATTGCTCTAGTGATAACTGCTGGCTATACCACATAGAATTTCACCAACAATCACAGATAGGGAAGGATTCCAATTAAAAAAATATATAATGGTGGCAAAACATAAGATAAAAGCTTAGATGTCACAGGAATTGATAAATTACATCTGTAGGTTTATTATACAAATTATGACTATTTTGGCACAGTTTATTTATTAAGACCAAGTTAGGTGATCATGGGGTAAAAAAAGGAAAATCATCCACTTTATTGAATCATTTAAAAATTACAGGAATTGAAATAATAATAAAAATAAAGCTTAACATGAAATTAAACAATAACAGCTAAAGGCTGTTTAGATTGTTATCAACAAAAATGAAATCTGTCTGGTTTAATGAATGTATTGGAAACTGAATAGAATATCTTAAAGAATGAAAATACAGTTGAAAAAGTAAGTCTCAGGAAAGAAGGGAACGAGAGATGCTTTGAGAGTCCCAAAAGCATGAGATTAATAACTACTCTAGAATACTGCTACTCTCTGCAACTCATCTCTGAAGGAATAAAGTGTAGTGGTTATTTATCACTGCGTAGCTATCACCCCAAAGCTTAGAGATATAAAACAAGAACATTTATTTCTCAAAATTTTTCTGGGTAAGAAACCCAGGAATGGCTTAGCTAGGTTCAGTTGCTTCTGGAGTCTGTAGCTTCCTCAAGGCTCAACTAAGGAAAAATCCATGTCCAAGCTCACTTGCTTGATTGTTGGCAGGATTCAGCTCCCTGTAAGTTGTTGGACTGAGCGCTTCTGTTCTTGCTAGATATTGGGCGGAACCTACCCTTAGTTCCTTATCTTTTTTACGTGGACCTCTAACATGACAACTTGCTTTGTCAAGGTGCACAGGATGAGAAGGCAATAGAAAGAATGTCAGTTTGTTTTTGTTTTTGTTTTTTTGAGACACAGTCTTGCTTTGTTCCCCAGGTTGGAGTGCAGTGGTACGATCAGGGCTCACTGCAGCCTCAAACTCCCTGGATCAAGCAATCCTCTCACCTCAGCCTTCCAAGTGTCTGGGACTACAGACATGTGCCACTGTGCTAGGCTAATGTTTTCTTTTCTTTTCTTTTCTTTTCTTTCCTTTTCTTTTCTTTTCTTTCTTTCTTTCTTTTTTTTTTTTTTTTTGGTAGAGACAGGGTGTTACTAGGTTGCCCGGCCTGAGAAGGTATAGTTTTTTGTTACCCAATCACAGAAGTCGCATCCCATCACTCCATAATTTTTGCCCTGTTTTATTCGTTAGAAGCAAGTCACTAGGTCCAGCCCACATTTAAGGAAAGAGGATTAGATAATAGCATGAATACCAGGAGGGAGGATCACTGGAAGCCATGTCAGATGTGGTATACATGTAGTCTCTGATTTGCTTCAATCAAAGTTTTGGACTCCTGGGGGAAAAATAAGGAAACTTAGGCCAGTTGTTTATCCCTTGATTAATGATTATATGGAGTAAGGAGGAACATAATAATATAAGAAAAAAATCCCAAACTTTTAGTAAGAGCTAAAACTTGTTTGTGAAGGCCCACTTCTAGAGAGAAAGACATTAGCATGAGTTAGGGAAAGGATGAACCTAGCTAAGCCAGCCCTGGATTTCTTACCCAGAGTCCACTGCATGTGTTTAGGATGATATATGATGCTAAAATCACTTCAGAGTCTATTGTTAAAGGACACAGTCCCAAGTGGTATTAAATAGTACTAATTTCTTTCTTTAAACACAAACCTAATGCTTGTGCCTTTATGTGTTTACTAGAGTGGTCATTAGTTCTTTATATTATTCTTTGAGGCTTAAAAACTTCATAGTAATTAATCCTGACAGGAATGAAAGTAGTAGTTCAAGTTATACTTCTTATTTCACCGAGTTCAAAATGGAGATAAAGAGTGTGTCAATCGGGAGTCCATCCTTTTGTTAAATGAGGTTTCAAATTCTCTTTGGTAAATTATTCTTGAGTTGACCATTTTTGAAGGCCAAGGTACCTAATTAATTAATTCCTTTCCATGTAGTTTAGGTGGATGTTCGTCTACCTTCAGCAGAGTCAGCATTTTACAAAGGTTTCAATAAAATATGAACATAAGTTTTATTTTTTTAATCTTTATTTTAATTTCAGGGGTACATGTGCAGGTTTGTTACATAGGTAAACATGTGTCAGGGTGGTTTGTTGTACACATTATTTATTTCATCACCCAGGTATTAAGCCTAGTACCCATTAGTTATATTTCCTGATCCTCTCCCTCCTCCCAGCCTCCACCGTCTAGTAGGCCCCAGTGTGTGTTGTTCTCCTCTAGAACATAGGTTTTAAATATGGCATAGAAAACATTCTTTTTATCAGATAAGTTTGGTCTTAAAGCCTAACAAGTAGTATTTTGAAATTGATACTGACAATGAATTCTTTTTACCATATAATTTATCAGATGCTGGGGCTCATTGTACAACATAAATTGATTTCAAGGCATGAGGTGTTTTGAGAATTGATATGTTTTAAATATGATAGCGATACTGTGGAGTAAATAATCAACTGTGATTGATGGTGCTATATCCCAGTGTCACTTAGCTCAAACAAAACAGAAACAAAGAGTTGAATACCTAACTACCAGACACCTAAATTAAAGAGCAGACAGTTTAGCCTACACCAATGACTTTTACCTGATTAGATCTTGGCTTTTATCTTTGCATTTTATTATTACACATAAAAAGTCTTTCAATTAGTGGAGATGGTTGCTTGTGGATTTGTTTGTTTTAATTATTCTAAATGTAGAATCACTAGAGGGTAAAAAAGTCTTGTACTAAATTTAAAATCAAGGATTATGTATGTTTTTAAAATGTTTGGCACAGACAAGTGGGTCTTATCAGGGATATCAGATAAAACAATTTTCTTCTTTCCTTGACTGCCTGTTCAAACTCTCTTTGTGAGGTTAATTCTGCCCTATCCCTCACTTAAATCCCACATTGGCTCCGGAGCTTTTCTAGTTTCTTCTTTACAAAAAGAACATCAGTTACCTTCATCCTCCAAACAGTTTCAGGTTGATAATGACATATCCAATTCAGGAAATAATCAAAACCGAATATCCGTATGATGAACTAACATCATACGCACACATACAAATAAATTTTAAATGCACGAGAGACAAGTGTTAAGAAAACAAAACAAATGTGATGAGACAACCAGCTGAATACCACAGATTCATGCTGCTACTCCACACTGGAATTGCTGCTGAGTTGAGGCAGCCAGCCAGGGTCTACTTTTCTGCTTTCCCTGCCTGTAGATAGTGCCATGTGAATAAATTCTGACTGATGACATGTGAGCATTTCATCAACTTATATAATCTACTTCTAATACTGAACCATAAAACACACCAAGTGATTCTCGACATTTTCTCTTTCTCCATTTGTTGGCTAAATGTTAACCTTCAGGGCAAATTCAGAGGCATGTTGAATCTAGGTGACAGATATTTGGATGTTTATTGTAAAATTTTTAAAACTTATCTATTTCTAATATGAAGTTGCAAAAACATAAAATCAGTAAAAAAATAAAACAACCTCTCATTTAAATTGAAAGCATCAGATGGACAAAAAATATAGCCTCTTACTACCCTTACCTGGGCTTGATTTGGAAGGCTATTTTCAGTGAGAAAGCAGCCATGCCCAACTCTTTCTCCATTTTCTTAATTTATATTTTTACTCCTTCTCTCCTATACTGCTAACCATGTTTTTTGATATATCCAAGGTTCATGTGAAGAGAAAGGAGGGCAAATGAAGGAGATGTAAGAAAACAGTATGTCTTTCTTGACTGGCTATATTATAAGTTGTTAATAAATTCTCTATGATGGTAGGAGGATAAGAATTACTTTTTATTTTTTAAAATGTTATGTGGGTTCTTTAGTGAGCCCATAAATATCTGGGGACTTTTTATATATAGTTTCCTTTTAAATGAACTCTCATTTCCCCACCAGATAGGTGTTTAAAGCTGCTTCTAAGACAAATTTATGGCAGTGTTCTCACTAACAATCTATATCTGGTCCACTGAAACCTGCTCCTTAGACCCTAATGTCAGCAGGAGTAAACCTACTTCCTAATTAAACTTCCCCACTCTGATGCCATAGGTTAATTTTGGCAGTCTTTTGTTTTTTATAGTTCTCAAGTAGGCGTCATATACAAGCCTACTATGTCCACCAAATTCCTGGGGTCATACATAAATCTCACTCAGTGTTTACTTTAATTTGCTATCAGTAGGCTTTCGTTGAAGTGTGAACCTGTTGCCCCTTTTCCATGGGAGTAGAGACTCATCTCATACAGTGAAAAATTATCTCCATTCAAAGCCTTTCTATAAATACAGTTTACCTTTGCTTCTCTAATTCCTTTTCATTTTTAATACTCTAGCATATGTGGAAAATAGATATTCCCTCCCTCCCTCCCTCCCTCCCTTCCTTCCTTCCCTCCTTCCCTCCTTTCCTCCTTTCCTCCCTTCCTTTTTTTAGAGACAGAGTCTTTCTCTGTCACCCGGGCTAGAGTCCAGTGGTGTAATCATGGCTCACTACAGCCTCCAACTCAGGCATAAGCAATATTCCTGCCTCAGCCCTCTGAGTAGCTGGGACTACAGGTGTATGCCACCACACCTGGTTAATTTAATTAGTTTATTTTTTTGTAGAGATAGAGTTTCACTATTTTGCCCTGGCTAGTCTTGAACCCTTGGCCTCAAGTAAGCCTTCTGCCTTGGCCTCCCAAAATGCTGGGATTATAGGCCTGAGTCACCACATCTGGCCCCCATACTTTCTTATAATTGGGGTTTCACACCCTCTTCTTGGAGTAGGAACCAAAGCTAAGCACTTTAGAGAAAAATGGCCAGGTTCTACTAAAATTCCTAAAACTACAACAAAACAAAACTCTGAACAGCACTATAGTACAGTTTTAGACACTATCTAAACCTAGGGAAAATAAGACTCGAATTGGGGAAGGAAAGAAATAAAACCTTAAGTAAAGATGAACTCACAGTCACAAATTAGAAACCACATGATAAATATCTATAAGTGAGGTATGGTAGAAAAAAATAACCCAATTAAAATATGGTAGAGTACTCTAAAATTAAAATTTTAAATTAAAAATAAAATAAAAATGAAAATACAAATAGAAGACATATGAAACAACAGGGAAATATTTTTAAAATGCAGATATATTTGAAAAAGAACCAAATGGAAAATTTAGAAAGGTAAAAATTTAGTTAAATGAGATGAAATCAAAGGAATGAAATTAATCTTACTCTAATGAAAAAAATTAATCTTATGTTTGCTTCAGTAGAACAGAGACTGATACAAAAAATTTTGGACTAAAACACAGATCTCAATAAATCACCTGGAATGAGGCATAGAGAATAAAAATTAGAGAATATATAGCCAATAAAGATAACCCACATAACTGAAAGAAGATATTTACAATGCATGTAACCAGTAAACTCTATCTGTCCCTCCCCCCACACCGTCTGTCTCATTCTCTCCACACTTTCTTATAAAGCAGTAAGAAATATAGAATAAAACACTATATTTTTAAAAAACAGAAAAGCAATACCAAATATAAATAAGAATGTAGAGAAAGAGGAATTCTCAACATATTGGTGAGAATATTAATTGAAACCATCCTTCTGGAAAACAAAGTTGAAGACAGACATAATCTGCGACTCATCAATTCCCCCTTTAAGAATAGAGCCCAGGCTCTTTGAGACCTTGTTTATTACAGCTAAAAACAGGACTCAGCTTAATTATTTAGTGATGGAGGAGGATTAATGAATTATTCTAGACTCACAGAATGGAGTCCCACACAACAGTTAAAATGAATGAAAGGAATATACATTAATGAACAATGATAAATTTCAAAAAAAATTAAAAAATAGTGAAGTAAAAAAAGGCAAATTGTGTCATTATCTTCAGTGTGTGGCATTTATCTTGGCGCATCTCTGCTTCTCCATTTGTATTCATATTTGTTCTCTCTATCTCTCTCTCTCCTTTGAAGAATCTGTCTTTGGATTCAGGTGTTTGAAACGAATTTTTTTCTGGATTTAACATGCATATGTATGGTTCTCTGTTCAGAGATATCTTCAGATTCTGTGTGCAGAGATCCTGAAGATATTTGAGTCTCTGCAAATCACTGGACTGGTGTCTGTCCAGTGAGCTTTCTATGCTATCACAACTTTTTGTCTGAATTGCCTCTGCCAAATTATTGCTACTTCTTTCTTTAACAATGGTATTAGTTCTCCTGCCCTAATTTCAGAGATGTCCTCTGCTTCTCTGCCTCTTTGTCCTATGGGAAATATTTGTTTTTATTAGCAAGTCTCTTTTGATATTTCTTTAGTTCCTTAGTGTGTTTGAGCTATACCTAGCTCTTGAACTCTTTTTCCTATAATGTACTTAAATGCCTTTGGGAATCATTTTATGAATCCTGTGACCCCAAGGTTGAAAACAGAATAAACAAGAAACATCAGTCCTGTTGATTGAATAATTTCAACTGCTCCTATTAATTTCCACATTGGATTATCCTTTTTTTTTTGAGACAGAGTTTCGCTCTGTTGCCCAGGCTGGAGTGCAGTGGTGCAATCTCTGCTCACTGCAAGCTCCGCCTCCTGGATTCACACCATTCTCCTGCCTCAGCCTCCTGAGTAGCTGGGACTACAGGCGCCCGCCACCACACCCAGCTAATTTTTTGTATTTTTAATAGAGTTGGGGTTTCACCGTGTTAGCCAGGATGGTCTCGATCTCCTGACTTTGTGATCCGCCCTCCTTGTCCTCTCAAAGTGCTGGGATTACAGGCATGAGCCACCGCCCGGCCTGGATTATCCTTATTTGTAAGAAAAGTGAAGTTGAGTCATCTTTCTCAGACATGTGTCCAGCATGTTGTCTGTAAGCTAAACTAGTCTGCACTCAGACCAAAATAAATGGGAGTTATTTTATGTTTCAGAACCATTCAGACAACATGCTTGGGAAAAATGCACAATGAACCATTTCTGAAGACCTTGTGTTTATTATGTTTTTAGATAAAAGTTTATTCAGACTTTTGCATTTAATAATGTATGTACCAAAGAGTCGATGCGTCATGATTTCTGAGAACCGATTTCACAATTTGAGAAACTTCCTTTAGACTGCTCTGATTTGAGCTTAAAACGTCCTTAAGCCTTTAAGACCAGTTAAACAAGGTAAAGGAAGGCCTTACAAATTCATCTGGTGAACTTAATGAAACCAGTCAATCTGACTTTAAAAGACCTTTTCACTGTTCTCTTTAGTTGGAATGTGTTTTTCTCTTTATTTTTGAATAGTATCTTTTTCCAAATAAAATGTCTGCATGCTTAGAAAAAACAAAAACTTCCACCAGATATCCAAATATTTACTCTGCAAAACTGCTAAACATACAGAATTTGGGGAACATTTAGACAACTGTTATTTAATTTGATCTGGGTATCTGCCACTCTGCCCAAATCAGTATCTATCCATGTAGTAAATTTTCATGATTTTTTTGTATTTCTCTATTTTCATTTGCATTTTCAGTGAATCTCTTTAATAGATGACTGATAGTGTCAATATTAATATATATTTTTGAAAAAATATTACCACACAACAATTTGTGCTGGTTTTCTAGGACACATAAGAAAATTACTGCCATTCACATCCATTGGCCATACATTATTAATTGTAAGAGTAGATTTTTTCTGAATCTTTAGAGACAAAGAGTTTCCAGTGACCTTAAAATTAAGACAGCTTTGAGGAATGTTAAGAATTATTTTGATAAAGAATAAATTCTCCTTTGCTGATAATTATAATGGAGCAGTTGGGATCATAATAAAGTATTAAAATATTTATGATTTTTATTTGCATTTATTTTTGTTTCCTAAGTTATTGTATTTTAGATGAGAATGTCTATAAACATGCGGATATGAGGAATGATAGCATTTAGAGCTTGCTAGTTGTGGAAGAAGCTCCCAATCTACTGCTTCAATGTTTCCTTTCATCCTTCATAGTTAACATCTCTATCCATTTGCTTCTTAGTTTAAAAACCATTACTGAGTCCTCACAAACATCAGTATTAAATCCATCTCCTAGAATGACATACAAAACACTTTGTATCAGTCAGCTTAAGTGGTGTTATGTAACATAAACAAATGGCTTCCAAATAACAATGACTTATAGTAACAAAGACATATTTCTTGCTATGATACATGCAATTAACCAGTTGACTGAAGATCTCCAAATTATTTTTATTCTGGGAATCAGACTGAAGAAACAAACCCGATCTGGGCATGCCACAAAGATAAAAAAGAAAAATCTATCATGGACTGTATACTGGTTCTTAAAACTATAGTGAAAGTGGCAATCATAACTTTTGTTCCCATTTCATTGGTCGAAGGCAGTGAAGTAGACAAGGAAATATCAGTGGAGTATGAAATATAATCCTCCTCCACCACACCCTTCGTGAGCTGATGTTTTTATCGATCTCTCAGTTAAAAGGTCTCCCTATTAGCTTTCATAACTTCCTGTTTTGCTGTTACAGAAACATATAGGGGCAGGGAATTGAAGATAACAGGTGGAAATGTTAACATTGTAAGATTAGCAGCACACTCTTGCTCTTCTCCTATCCTGAGAATTCTTCAGGCTCTGTATCTCGGGGGGATTTAGTTGGCTCTAGAGTTTCCTTAACATGAGCGTATTTGAAAGTCAATGAGATTCTCATATTTGCACAAGGATCTGAAGTTTTCAATCTGCCAGAATCTCTTATCTGTTTTCTCTCTTGGCCATTTCCTACTCATTCTTTACGAACTATAAAATATAGAGGTCCTTTTAATACCAACAATCTATGTGGAACATTTATAGTTATATTTGTTGGAAAACTTCTAGTAAACATGTAACCCTCTTTTATTACCTTCACTGTAGCCACAGCTGTATATATCAATGAATGTCTGATGCTCTTGCAGTCTCTTCTACAGCCTGTAAAGTGGAAAGCTCCTAACTGGGGTCCAATGCCATGTTTGCTTTATTATAAGGAAGTCTGGTCCAATTAAACAAGACAGAAAGAGAGGTATCTGATTTTGCTTACATTCAAAGGAAGATATATTTATTTCTTGAGTTCTCCTGATGTTGCTCTGAGTTATCAAACCCACCACTACACCTCTTCTGGCGGAAGACTTCCTTACAGGTTGAGTGAGCTGAGTATCAAAGGATCACAGTCTTTATGGTTGAGCAGTCTTGTTCTTCCATGGAAGTAGTTTGGTGGTCTCCAGGCCATCCTTCATTGCATAGTGGAGACTTTTGTGACTGCAATAAAGTTTTGCTGTTACAGAAACATATAGGGGCAGGGAATTGAAGATAATAGGTGGAAATGTTAACATTATAAGATTAGCAGCACACTCTTGCTCTTCTCCTATCCTGAGAATTCTTCAGGCTCTGTATCTCTGGGGGATTTAGTTGGCTCTGGAGTTTCCTTAACATGAGCCTATTTGAAAGTTAATGAGATTCTCATAATCTTCTATATTTTAAGGACAGATGAGAACTAGCAGAGCTGCCAGCTGCCAGTAAAAACTAGTAGGTTTGTTGAATGCATGATAAATGTGTTAAAGTCTGCAACTTGAGGGCTGAAAGGAACTCTAGACATAATCCAGTCTGGAGGATCCAAAATAGAGCTGCACATCAGAATCACCCTGGCAGATTTTTAAAGAACAGATGCTAAAGTCAAAACTGCAGAGATGCTGACTTTTTAAATCTGGAGTGGAGCCCAGAAAAGTTTGTCACTGAATCCAAGCCTCTCTTTACAATCTATCACTCTCTTCTGTTGTCTTCCCACAGTACTCAATTCAGGAAGCTACGGAGAGAATGTACATTAAAAAATGTAATTGAATTACATCTAATATAAATTAAGAACTCATTGTTTTTACTGAAACTCTATCCCATGATTTTTCTTTTGATGGAGTCTTCCTCTGTTGCCCAGGCTGGAGTGCGATGGTGCGATCTCGGCTCACTTCAACTCCGCCTCCCAGGTTCAAGCAATTCTCCTGCCTCAGCCTCCCGAGCTGCTGGTACTACAGGCATATGCCGCCACGCCCAGCTAATTTTTTGTATTTTAGTAGAGACAGGATTTCACCGTGTTGCCCAAGGCTGTTCGTGAACTCCTGAGCTCAGGCAATCTGCCCGCCTCGGCCTCCCAAAGTGCTGGGATTACAGGCATGAGCCACCACACCTGGTTGATTTTTCTTATAAGCTAGACAACTAGAATATTCTTTCATCATGTAACTTTTAAGCTTCTTTAGTTTTGATGGATATGACTGACTCCTCTCTGCTGGTTCCTACCTGTGTTCCAAAGTCACAGAGTAATCTGAATATCACCCTACACATACACACACACACACACACACACACACACACACACACACACACACACACATACACACACAATCTCTAAGAGAAACTTCTTTTTGACCTACTCTGCTGAAAAGGAACGCTCATGAACATCCTGGGGTGTTTCTCAACTCCTTATCCCAATAAAAGTTTTCAATGTTCTAATTCAATGTAATAAATAATTTTGAGCACATTCTCTGCCAGATATTCTATTAGATGAGGGATTATGTGACCTTAATTATACTGATAAAAAGCATGCAAGATCACAGCAAAAGTATGAGCTAATTATAATCCTAGCATCCTCCATGTCCCTCATTCTCAGCTTAATTTTGTGTCCCTAACATTTGGAGGATGGAATTTTAATGCCTGCATCCATTCTATTTCCAGTGCCTTTATCTCTTTGAAATTTGCAGTGAACAAATACCTGTTTCTACTCTGCCCTCTGGCTTATCCTTTTCTTTTCTTTTCTTTTCTTAGGACCTGGTATATTTTTCTTCCTCAGTTCTTCTCCTGAAATCTAAAATGTTTTATCCTGTTCAGAATTTTTGCTTTTTGAAAATAGTTATGTTTAATTCTTACATCATTCCTTATTGAAAGAGAATACCACCATCTCTTTAAAAAAAAAAAAAGAATCTGATTTAAATTTAAAGTTTCTGCCACACAGATACAAGTAAGTTGTGTTTCAGATGACACTGACTACCTCACAGCAGTCTGGTTAATTCTTAGGTGTCATTCTGAGTGGTTCCAGGACAAATTTCTTTTTGTTCCATACTCTCGTCATTGTTGATGTCTTGCTACCATGTTTGCTAAGAGGCATCATAATATAACAGTCATCACGTGACATATGAATTCGGTCAATGCTGATCATATTATCATCACATCAACTGAATCATGTGTATAGTTGGTACCATTCATGTTGAATTTATTTGCTTTTTATAATGTCCTCAAAAAGATTGTTACAATTTACCATTGAAATAAAAATATATGCACAGTGTCCTGAATATAGAACAGCATAATACATGACAATATTCTAATTATTTAAAAATCAAAATGAATCTTTCAATGACTATCAAATAAATATTCTAAGTGGGAAGAAATCATGACATAGTTACACCAGCACGAAATTTCTTTCCCTCAGTGGTAAATAATATTGTGCTTCACACTCACTATTGTTAGAAAAGACATTGTGCTCAGCAAAAGATTGCATTCCCCAGCTTTGCCTACAGATCAATATGACCAGATAATTTAGTTCTACACGTTGAGATACATATAATCAGAAGTTACTTGGTTGGGATTATTATTTTTTTTAAAAAAAAAAAAAGAAAGAAAAAAACACTCGTTTAGAAGCCAGATTAACTGACATATGCTATCTTCATTCTTCCTGACTGGAATGAGGACATTACTTATAACCATGTGAATCTGAATGCATAAGGAGGACACAGAGAAATGTGGGAGGAGCCTGAGTATTTTATACTTTGTGGGGCTGAGATACCAGCCTTGGAGTTCTTACCTCTAAACTCCCTGGTGTGTGAGAAAAATAAAACCCTCTGTCTTTCTATTTTTTTTTTTACTATGTTTAAGATAGCTATAACTCACAGCCAATCACAAATCTCAACTCTACATATAGATTTAAATATTTAACATGAAGTGTATGAAGCCTTGAATAGCTCCCTAATGAAATTGTTTCCTGATAACCCAGTAAGAAAGGTTTTCCAAGATGTCATGCTCTTTTTTATTTATATAAGTGGTCTTAGTCTGTTGGTAATAAAATACCTGAGAGCAGGTAACTTATAAACAATAGAAAATTACTTCTCATAGTTCTGGAGGCTGGGAAGTCCAACATCAAGGTACTGGCAGGTCTGGTGTCTGGCGGGGACTGTTCTCAGCTTCCAAGATAATGCCCGTTGCTGCGTCCTTCAGAGGAGGAACACTGTTTCCTCACAGGGCAGAAGGGACAGAATGCAGGAACTTAGTTCCTCAAGCTTTTTTATAAGGTGTTAACCCCATCCATGGAGCCTCCACCCTCAGGACTTAACCACCTAAAGCCCCCACCTCTTAATATTATCACACTGGCAATTAAGTTTTAGCACATGAATTTTGGGGAACATTCAAACTATAGTATGAATTTTGGGGGACATTCAGACCAATACAATACATAACCATTGTTTTAGAATATGTATAGGAGTAAATTAAAAATAAATTAACATCATCCAAATTCCCACCATTTGGATTACTGATTGGCATTTCCTAATGTAAATATTAAATATAAACATTAGATTCAAACATTTATAAAAATAAGTCAGAATATACATGCTGGAATGAAAGTGAATGATATAATGGTGTTCACTGTACTGTTGCACATTTACCTATTCTTTCCATTTTTCTGTAGATTTGAGCATTTTTAAATTAGAGATTATGTATACACACAAATATGTATATATGTACATGTTTTCCTACATTTTCCAGAACATTTGATCGACAAATACCATGCTGGGAGAAACTCTGGCACCTCTTTTAAGGCTTTGTTTGGAAAGCTCAGGGCTCTCACACTGAAAACCAAGCATTTGGGTCTCCATTACACTGAGCCTAGTCCCACAACTATCTTCACACTGAGACTTAAAGGAATTCTTTTATTTATTCTTTCCCCTCTGTTCTAGAAATACATTCACCTACCACTCAAGTTTAAAACTGAAATGAAAATTCTGACAATCCAGAGGTCCATTATATTATAGGACTCATTAGAATCCTTTAAATTTTGATGAAAAAAGACAATCTGCTGCATTCAGGAAGATACCAGAAAATTTCTGCTCTCAAGTATATTCAAATTTGATAAGTGAAATGGCTTTCAACGGGTTGTTTAGAAATCCCATAGTAAAGCATTAATGAGCTAGTCGTCATAACTGATTACAAGTCAGTTCTGGCCAAGGATGTAATTAAAGTCTCAAATGTTTCGATTTTCACAAATATAAATTTGTCCTCCCTTGGTGCCTTTTATCCATGCTCAGAGTTCTTTGCAATTATTAGCTCATTAGTCTTCGTGGATTTTTAAATTTAATTGTAAATTAGTAGACCCTACAGAGTTAAATATAAAACAAACAATGTTAATGGCCCATTTCATGAATATATATACCAATGGCTTAACCTTTATTATCTGAGCATATACACTAATACCAGTGGTGTCTTAACTCTCCTCTAAAGCACAATTCCATGCTTCTCACATATTAGTACTGCACAGAATTTGCTTCAACCTGAAAACTAGTTTCGTTTTTGGTATGTTTTTTTTTACACACCCATTCCAAAGTTTAGCTTTCATAGAATTTCTACATATGTTTAATTTACTACTTTGGTGTGTTTTGAATATATTAATATAGCAAAACTTCCCTTATGTATCATGAAAAGTAAGTAGAAGATTTTGATCAAATATGCTGATTACTGAGATATCATTGTAATTATTTACCAGGGATCTTACGTTATCATTGCTTCATTCAAATTGGGAAGGAAACCACAGTCATTTTCAATGGTATAAATGAAGTGAGCCTTCATGCCCTTAACACTGAAAAAAGATGAGAACTATATAGTTTACAGCTGAAGTTTATTCTACCCAGCTCCCATACATCCTCCAACTCTAACTTACCATGAGAAGCACTCCTCCCCTCAACTTGTCTCAGTGCTATCATTCCACTCCTGGTGTTGTGGCCTGCCCATGACTCAAGCCTGATCAGACTGCTGCTTTCATCTGGCTCTAGTGATGGGTCCATGTATTAGTTTCCTGGTATTGTCTTAACAAAGTACCACAATTGGGTGGCTTAGGTAACAAAAATTTATTGTTTTACAATCTTACAGTTCCAAGATCAGGGTTTCAGCAGGGTTGATTCTTTCTAGGGGCTGTGGAAGAGACTCTGCCCCTGGTTTCTCTCCTAGTTGTTGGTGGTTTGCTGGCAAGCTATGGAGAATGCAAAATCATCTTTGGATAGCTCCCAGGGCCTCAAGGAATTTGTATATCCTTTGTGAATTATAGGCTAATTTACACAAATATAAATCCTCCAAATCTGATAATTGGTTTGATTTTTATGTAGAATTGCTTCTTGGAAAATGTGGAAGAATGAGAGTGGAGACAGGGAGTGATGGTAGGAGATACTTACATACCTAGAATGTTTTATTCACAAACTTGTTTGCACATCAGAATCACTTGGAAAAAAATATTTTTTAAAGAAATAAGGATTCCTGGGCTTCTCCTGTACAAGTTCTGACTCTGTAGATCTAGGCAGGAATCCTGAGAACTGTATTTTTATTTATTTATTTTTTTTTTGAGACGGAGTCTCGCTCTGTCTCCCAGTTGGAGTGCAGTGGCACGATCTCGGCTCACTGCAAGCTCTGACTCCCGGGTTCGCGTCATTCTCCTGCCTCAGCCTCCTGAGTAGCTGGGACTACGGGCACCCGCTACCGTGCCCAGCTAATTTTTTGTATTTTTAATAGAGAAGGGGTTTCACCGTGTTAACCAGAATAGTCTCGATCTCCTGATCTTGTGATCCACCCACCTTGGCCGCCCCAAGTGCTGGAATTACAGGCGTGAGCCACCGCGCCCGGTCGAGAACTGTATTTTTAAAAAGCTCCCCAGGAGAATCTACTACACAGCCAAATTAGGGGAACACTTATCTAAAGAATTTATATAAGGGAGTTTAAGAAAATTGGTTGCCTAAAACTATAAAATTTTTCTATAATAGAGTTGGAAGCTTGGGCACTTTCAAAATCAAATTTCTGTATTTTCAAGTGAGAAAGGTCTTAATTTCTTGATGAAGGGGAAGTTTAGAATTTAATTTTCAAAATAGAAAGGCCTAATTTCATGTATTTTGATCTTCCTGAAAATTAACACCAGAGATCTTTTTTTTTTACATACTTGCATTTATAGACATCTATGGGCATGCTTAGTTTAAATGAAATTACTTGTTCGCTTAATTTAATAGAAAGTGTACTGAACTAATTAGCATTAATTACCTGTTCGATTAAGACTTGGATTGACAATGGTAATTAAATTGATTCTCCTTCTCAAATATGGATGTTCCCAAAGTATTCATTAACTAGTTTCAACAAAATATTCCCTAATAGATTTCCAGAATAGATACGGTATTTCTTCTGCTTTTCATATCTATCTTTTCTTCCTTTAAGAAATGATTGCTCCTTTGTGTTCCGTGTATTTACAGCTTCTTGAGATTACTGAAAATCTCAAATAAGTTCAGGTACTTAGTAAAAGGGTATGGGGTGTTCCCTTCAAACCAGTTTGTCTTTATTTCTGTTTTTGATTGGCTGTGCTTTTTTAAATAGAAAAACAGTGGCCGAAATAAATAACATAAATACAAATTTTAATAAGCAAGATTATAAATTAAATTGGCTTCTTGATATAATTTTACTTGGATATGTTCCTTAGTTAAGGGATTTTCTGACATGATGAACTTTTTAGGTGAAAAAGGGTTCTTATGAAGAAGAGGTTTTAATTTGTAGAATGTTAAATCATGAGTTAGAAATATGAAGTTCCAAAGATTTCTTTTGCTTCTCTGTGACAGAAATGTACATCTACCATGGAAAATAGAAAAAGAAAATGCAATCATGTGGGTTCAATCAAACTGCAATGAAACCTATAGAAAACTAGTAAAAACTAGTAAAAAAAAAAAACCTATAGAAAAACTAGTAAAAAAAAAAAAGAAAACCTATAAAAAACCAGTAAAACCTATAGAAAACTACTATAAAAAACTAGTAAATTTTAGATTATTAATCTAAAATTTCTATTCATTTGTTTAATCATTCATTCAACAAATATTTATTCAGTATCTACTCTCCCAAGCACTATTCTAAACATCAGGGATATATTAGTAAACAAAATAGACCAAGATCCCTGTCCGACTGGAGACTTCCATTTTGTTTTTTGATTCTGTTTTTTTACTAGAAAAATTTCTGTGGTATTACCAAGAGTAACTGAGAATTACTTATTTTTGCTTGTTTGAACAGAATATCAAAGCAGAAACACACTGGAAATATGAAGCAAATTGCAAATTTTAATACAAGTATTTCAGCTTCACCTTCTTTTTGTGATGATTCGTGGGGACACCCACAATACACCAATGAAGTATCCATGGACTTACAGAAATCATCCTATATCTTGAGACTGCAGAGTATGTTCTGTGCCATTGATATAATTTATGAAACCATCTACTTTGAACTGCCTGAGAGAAATTTTGATATTTGGCTATGTTTCTGATATTTAAAAGTCTCAAGAGAATATACTTAAAAGGATATGAGTTTTTGACTAGTACTAAACTGCGATAAACTATATCTAAGTATCTTTGAGAAATTATACTCGTTAGCAGTTTCATAAGAAATTTAATCTGCCAAAAAGCAACTTCTTAATGAGTCTAATCTAAATTCTTGGGTTTCTCCAAAAACAATGATTCAAGTTCAATATCTTTTCCCTAATCTTGTTTTGTCTGTGGCTGCTTCTTTTGTGTCTGAGAATCCCTTATTTGTTTCCCTTGATTCTTGGAAGTAGAATGTTTTATTGCATCTCATTAATTGCATTAGGGCCCTCATGGGAGTGAACAGTCTTGGATTTGGAGGTGTAGAAGCCAAGTGTGGTCCAGAATTTGCCTGTTCTAATAATTAGGCATGTTGTAGGGTACTCTAATACCAGTATAAAAAAGAGGAACAGATAAATAAAATTCACAGTAAAAGTCTCTCTGAAACAAAGAATGATTAATGGCCATGCATTTTGACCACTGTGGAAAGAACAGAACTTTAGACAAGCCATTTTTTCTTTCACTTTATTTCCCCCCCTTTTTCTTCTTTTCTTTCTCACTTCCTCCTCCTCTTTATTCTTCTTCACGTTTGTCTTCTTGTTCCTCTGAATTAAGATAGGAGGAGGGTATTCTTTGAGCTACACTTTGGGTCATATTGGAATTCCCGTCTAAGTGGGAAATTTGGCTTTCTCTTGTCTTTCCAAGCTGCAATGTTCTTGTATCTAGATTATCATGCTGCCGGTGGGAACCAATTAAGGACATCTGTGCTAAGATCCAGGCCACGGGAGCATGGTTATCAGGTGGGAGCTGGGGGTGAGGGTTCTGATGTGTAGTGATTATTGATTTCCGTGGTTTAAAGTACTCTCACTGGCTGATTTCATGATATAACTGAACTCAGAGTTAGGAAGAGTGCCATTTTACACTCTTATTTTCTGAATCAGCTTTATCTTTTCTAAAGCCCAAAATGAAATATTTTGGGGGTTGATGTCAATATAATATGTTACTGTATGAAAGAAATGCAAAATTATAATATAAAAACTGCATAAGGAGTTTTATTATGAGGAGTTTAACTAAAATTGGAGGAGCTATAATAAGCTCCCTACTGGAAGAGCAGGGAACTTTTCTGGGGCTGTTATTCCTGGTGTCCAGGAATGGGCACTATTAGAGCCTTCTATCATCCAGTGTTTTCCTATGTATTACTAGTACTTACTTGCTATTTCATTTCCTCAGACTATTTTGCCTTCCTCTTTCTTCAAGTTTAGAATTTGTGCAATTAGAATCAGTGCAATCTGATTTATCAAGGAAGAAAACGGAGAGATTGTCAGGTGATATATCAATACCCTGTTGAGGGTTCAGGTCCATCTGCAAATATTTTGACACTCAGGTCAGTTTCCTAAGATTATCCAAGCCTGATGGATGTTTACTTTCTCTACATTATATGGGACCTGCGGGGACTATATCTTCTAAGGTGGGACAGGGGAATAAGAAGACTCCTTGAATTGGTACTTTCACAAAAATTTGGTCAAACTCATCTGTTATTACAAGTTTGCTCTTTAAAAAGTTTGTGCTATTAGTTTCTCATAAGCTCCTTCATATGAATCACCAGCCTTGAGAGCAATATCTTCATGAGGACTGAAAGTATGTTTTTATCGCCTAAACTTATGTTGCCCCTTATCACCGCTTTCCCTAAGTGCGACTAATTATATAACATGACAATGAGATTAGAGGAAGAGGAAATTGAGGAGATAGTGAGCAGAGCCTCATAGAAGTAGAGAGTAGAATAGTGGTTACCAGAGGCTGGGAAGGGTAGTGGGGAGAAGGGGATGGAGAAAGGTTGGTTAAGAGAAAGTTACAGTTAGATAGGATAAATAAATTCTGATTCTTTTTGCACATTAGTGTAACTATACCTAATAATAAGGTATTGTTTATTTCAAAATAGCTAGAACAAAGGATTTTGAATGTTGTCACCATAAAGAAATGACAAGTATTTGAAGTGATGGATATGCTAATTACCCTGCTTTGATCATTATACAATGCATGAATGTATCAAAACATCACACTGTATCCCATAAATATACTCAATTATTTCGTATCAATTAAAAACAAAATGAAACTTATAAAAAATAAATGTGTCATGAGACAGAAAACATATTTTGAATGATTTGAAGCAGATTCATAATCTGAACAAAACACATCGATGCTGTGATGATTTTAGTGTCAGGAATCTTTGGTTCATTGATGTTTCTAAAATCTATTTAGTAACATGAGAAATATATATGCTATAATATTATAAAAAATTACAACACATGTTGTTACCACCTGTGATTTCCATTGATCCCTCAAACTAAAACCTTCCAAACCCTTTGTGATCCTGAGGCAGTTTCTGATGACTTAATGTTTTCAGGAAAAGCAGGGCAAAGGTTGATGATCAAAGGACATCTTCTAATATCAGATACAGTCAGAGAGCGTTGATGTTGGAAACAAATGCTCGGTGCTGCAAAGAAGAACTAGCACTGAGACAAAGGACAAAGGTTCTCTCAGCAAGGCAAATTTACTTCTGCAGAAGGGTGTGTCTCACTTATGGAGCAATGCTGAGAGCACCCAGAACAAAGGAAAGCAGGGGTTTTTATTATCTCTAACGCAGCTAGTCCCTGTTACTGTGTCCTGCCTCCATTGGCTGGAGTTGGACTGCACAATCTAAGCTGAACCCGGTTGGCTAACTTGAAAAGTGCAGGAATGGGGTTACACCAGTGGGAAGGCAGGAAGATCAGTTTCAGCGGGAATAGCCGTTGCAATGGGAAGGGTAATTCACAGAGTGGGTAGCAGATGTGGAATGTGGGCTCTATAGATAAGGACTGGCGGGAAGGTTGTTTACCAGGGTAGGGGGACACAGAGCATAAGGAAGTCTGGACTTGAAAGCAGGGAAAAAGGACAAGGAAACTTAAGCAAGCTAAACCTTTGAAGAAGAGTTTCTTACTGTATTTAACAGTTGAGAATATCCATACCATCTGGGAGGCAAAAGCCAAAAAAGATTGTTAAATATGCTTTAAAATACACTTCATCAGAGGTTTGAAAGCTCTCTGCAGGTGACTTACAGCTTTAGGTATTTCCATTTTAATTTTATCCCATGTTAAATGAAGTTACTGTGTTATTTTTGATGATAAAATATATGCTTATTTTAGAGGATGCAAACCGTGGAAAAAGAGAAAGATGAATAAAATCAACAATAATCTTACCTCATGAAGACACAAATGGCTAATATTTGGTTTTATTTTCTTTCAGGAATTTTTCCTGAATATTTTTGCTCACAGATAAGATCAAAGAATTACAATATGCACAAATTAAGTTCCTACTTTGCTTCTTAACAACATAAAATTTCTCTCTGTTGAAATTTTTTGGATCAGAGATGGGAGATTACACCAAAAAAACAGGAAAACCCACTCAATTGGGAATTGAGAGCCATGGGTTTCAGTCACCATAGTATTCTTGTCTGGGAGTGCAAGTGTGGTTACTGGTTTCTCTGGATTGCAAGGATGCTGGAAGGGGTAAACAAGTCAGTTCAATGAGTTGGTACAAAACAATCACCTAGAAAAGAGCCTTCTATCATCCAGTGTTTTCCTATAAAGATCTACAGACTCAAGCCCCAGGTATTCTGATTCGGCAACAATGAGGTTCTGCATTTGAATAAGAACCCCGAGTGACTGTTGCAGGAGATTCTGGAATCATTCATTGAGAAATCAATGGATTAGATGATGCTTTGCTTTCAAAAATTGTTGGCGAGGAGCTGGAAAAGTTCATAGACAGTGGAGGATTTGCAGGAAAGATATTAAAATTGCCAGCATTGCCTCTCTTAAGTTCAAGAAACCCACGATATGTGGCACCCCAGGCATAGCTGGTCAAAAGGCAACAGTCATGCTCCTAGGAACTTTCAGTCTTTTCTACCTAGCTTGTGTTGAGCATTCTTCTCTTTCATATTATCTATTCCTCCTGTTTAATCCTCTCGTATACATTTCCCATTATCTTTCAAGTTACAGTTTAGTTAGTAGCAGAGTTCATATTGAAAATGGGAGCTCTTGATTCTTTTCCAAGAATCTTCCCATGCTACCATCCTTCTTCACATTTTGATTTTCAAGTTATCCCATGCAACATCTCTTTCAAGAAGACTTTCCAAGTTTTCCAGTCTTTTCTGTGTTTCTACAGTACTTCCCCCCACCACTGTGTGCTTACTTCTTTCAGCCTATTTGTGATATAGTTATTTCATTTATCATACTTCCCCACTAGACTAAATTATCCTATTGCCTAGCACAGTCTGTCACAGAATGCATACACAATAATGTCTTACAAATTAACAAATATGCAATCCTCTTAAGACATCTGTAGTTTAAAGGACAGTACATCTATATACTATGTAGTTTTCCCTCCTTGGTTAAGCTGTGTTTTTCAGATGCCAATATTTTGAAGTTTCTCCTCTTGTTTAGGCAGCATTTATAGTAATTCATCTTTTCTGAAACAGCAGGAATATATCATCTGACTCTATTACACATACATCTTGAAGTAGGATTTCTTTTTAAATTTATTTCAATCAGTTGGTCTGATTTCCATCAGAGACTTGATTTTAAGTTATTTTATCCTCTGATCAGAATAACTGCTTTGCAAAGGAAAGGAATAAAATGTTCAAAGAAGATAGTCATGTCTACTGACACTGTATTAAAATGCAAATGCGATGCAAACTGGAAGAAATCACGTTGCCAAATAATCTGGATCATTTCTGAGTCCAGCAGAACAATGCAAATTACTGATTTCCTCTACAGTTGCAAGTCTCTACATGCAATTTTTTCAAAGGAAACTAATTGCAGAAGTGAAGCAGATATAATCATTCTTCATGCTTGGTTACCCAATGAGGATACCCACTGGCATTTTCTAAAGTATTTTTAGGAATATGCATAGATAGATAGATAGATAGATAGATAGATAGATAGATAGATAGATATAATGCAAATTACTTCTGAGCCATATTTTGGGTCTCCAGGAAATCCCAGCCCCACCTTCTTAGCTTTAAATTGTTTCCATGTATCCTTCATACCTGTCAATAGACCTTTGAAATTCTCCCTGTTTCATTCACTTGTTAGTTGGCATTGCCCTTGGGGATACACCTCCCTTGAGATTGTTGAAAAACTGTAGAGAGGCTGTCCAGCTCCTTGCTTTCTTGTAGAATTTGGATATAAAGTTTCATAATTTAAGAATTTCCTTGATAACCTGCATCTTACTATGTTATCTGGCACCCTCCCAGTTACCTCTTAAATTTTCTCACATTTGTCCTTTACCTCACTCCATTCCAGCTTCTTTTATCTCCTTTCTGTGCCCACCCCACCATGCACACTCCTGACTCAGGGCCATTGCTCTTACTGTCATCTCTGCTTGCAATGTTCCTCATTTTGTCCTGAACTCAGCATAAGCCACTCCCTCACTTCCTTTAGGTTTTTTCCCAATAGCAGAAAGTCAAAGAGTCTGTTTTCTCTATTTCTTCACTCTGTCTTTCTTCACAGCGCTTATCACCACTGACACATTATATATCTAATTGTTTTATAACTATCACGGGGTATCTGAATATATGCTACATGAGAACAATGACTTTAGCACTTGAAATAGTATCTGGCACATAATAAGTGCTGAATAAATATTTGTTAAATGATTGATTTCAATGGGGAAACAGCTAGGCAAGTTTTGAAAAGGATAAATGATAAAGGTTCTGAGGTGTTTAAATAGCATTGAAAATGCATTCCCTAACCTTTATACCCTAACTCCTTTGTAGACAGTTATTACAATCAGGGATGTTTACAGACTCACCTTTCATTTCGGAGAGGAATCCCACCACTATTTTCCACTCTTGCACATCCTTGACTTTAAAACAGAACAGCATTCTCAGTAGGAAGATAGATTATTAGTGCCAAAAACATTGTGTATAAAAATATCATCATAAGTATATTGTTTTATAATCTGATATTACATAAGACTAATACATGAGTACCCCTCTGTCAAAAATATTCCTTGCAGTCTGGCTTTAAAGAATGAAATAATTTCCTTGATAAATACCCAATATTTACACATTTAAATTCTGTCCAATTTTTTTTTTGGTCTTCTAAACTATAATGAGATGTCCATTCACGTAAAGAAATCTGTAAATTCATTCATAGCTGCTTCCATTGGATAACTTCCTAGATGGAAAATTGTCATCTCAAAAAGCATTGCTCTTTTTAAAGCTTTTGAGGAACACTCCAAATCTCGTTCCAGAAACGCAGTAGCAATTTACCAGCAGTGCAACAGAGTGACTTATGGTATTTTTGAAAACATTTATTATTGTACCTTAAAATATTTGTCAGTTTGGTGGTGAAAACTTGTTCATTTGCATTCTTTGGCTACTACTGAAGTTGAAAATTTTAATATGATTCTTGACTATATATTTTCATTGTGACATATCCCTTCTTCCTTCTTCATCTTTTCTTGTAGTGAATTTAAGAAATGTTTATGTACATTATGACTATTAAATCTCTGTCACATGTGTGCAAAGATTTTCTCATTTTTTTGGCCATTTATATAACTTCTTCGTGATATACTCGATTCTCTACTTTTTCATCTTTTTCTTGTTGGATTTCAGGAAATACATATGTATAGGTGGATATACATATATAATGACCATTATTTAAGAGATATTTCTCCTTTTCTTGTTCATTAAATTTTGTTTCTGTGTGTTCTTTATTTCCAGTCAAAATTATCACTATATTAGTTCATTTTCATGCTGCTGGTTAAGACATACCCAAAGCTGGGAACAAAACGAGGTTTAATTGGACTTACAATTATGTATGGCTGGGGAGGCCTCAGAATCATGGTGGGAGAGGAAAGGCACTTCTTACATGGTAGCAGCAAGAGAAAAATGTGGAAGAAGCAAAAGCAGAACCCCCTGATAAATCCATCAGATCTCGTGAGACTTATTCACTATCATGAGAATAGCATGGCAAAGACCAGCCCCCATGATTCAGTTACTTCCCTCTGGGTACCTCTCACAACACGTGGGAATTCTGGGAGATACAATTCAAATTGAGATTTGGGTGGGGACAGAGCCAAACCATATCAATCACATGTGTTTATTGTTTCTGAAATTTAGTGATATTTGCTTAGGATGTTCTTTCCAAAAACATTTTTTGGTGGATTTTTAAAGAAACGTTAAACTCTTTCAACAATCTGGAAATTATTTTGGTGTAATGATTAGCTGGTTGCCCTGTTATTACCATTTATTAGTTATCCAATCTTTCCTTACAGATCTCATGTCACCTTTATTATATACCAAATTATTTATATATGCATAGTTCTATTTCTTGACTTTCTATTCCTTTCATTATTCTGTCTCTTCCTACACTAGTATCACATCATATTAATTACTGGTGCTTTGTATAAAGCAGTTTATTACCTTTTAGGGCAAGTACTCCTTTATCTTTTTTTTTTTTTACATTTTCTTTGTGTTTTTCTTTTTACATTTTCTTACATTAGTCTCAAAACAATTGTTCTTTCAAATGAGCTTTATGATCAGACTGGCACAATGCTCCCCAAAAAATATCCCAGTAAAATTGCCTTGCATCAAGTCATCTTAATTTCTAAAGAATTTGCATATCTATAACGTTTCCTTATCTCATATATAACATATCTAAAAGCAACAGTAACAAAAACCACTTAGCGCCTGCCTGTAGGGTGCCAGGTGGATGCGCGCTCTGTGCTCCGCGGGCTCCATTGAGATCAAGCACTTCCGCCCAGCGCTTCCTTTCCTGGAAAAGCCCTGCCTGATCTGGCCTTTGGGTCTCCCCTAGCAGCACGTGGCGCTTAGGAGCGGGCGACCTGCCTGTGCGGTGCCATGAACCTCTTACTGTGTAACCCCCACTGCAACTGACGGCACTACCCCTGCTTCCACAGGGACCACGGATGCGTATACATGGAATGGAAACTGGATTCCGAATCTATAATGCCGATCCATTTAAAAAAAAAAAGAAGAAGAGAAAAAAAGAATTTCTAGAAGAAGGAGTTGGCCATGTTGAAATATTATTTCACAGTAGCTATTTAGCTTGCTTTAGTGGCCAGTGGGGAAAAGCTGAAAATAGCCTCCCGGTAAAGCGACAATCTGGGATGACCAGAAAAGGACTGTTATTGAAGTAAAAGTTTCTACAGAAGTTAAGGCGGTCAAATTGTGACAAGATAGAATTGTGGTCGTTTTGAGTTCCTTGATTAAAGTATTTACAAGGATATGCAGTGCCCATCAGTCACACGTCTTGGAAACCTGCTCTAACCTTAAAGGCCTTTGTGCCTTGTGTCCCAGTAGATAGTAACAGCTCTCTCGTGACCTCCCCCATCACACACATGAGTTATGTGAAGCTTGTGGTCTTGCTAGCACCAAGAAGCCACCTGTAGACCTTCTTGCACACAAGGACGTCCTAAACTGGTGGCCCTCAACCACCAGTAGGGAACAAGAATTGCAACCACATCTCGAAAAAACAGACCCTTATAAGAATATTTGCTACTGCATCAGGGCCTTTTATCCAGGAACTATGAAAAAGATCACAAAGTGGCAAATATTTATTGCATCAACTTCAATTGGGAAGCTTCCCTCATCGGAGTATCCGACGACCATGGCACAGTACTTTTTTTTTTTTTTTTTTTTTTTTTTTTTTTTTTTTTTTTGCTGCTGAAAATCCAAAAAGTTCGGTGTTCAAACTAGAGCCAGTTTTCTTCCAAAATACTTCAGTTGCAAGTGGAATTTTTCCAACTCTCAGATTCCTTCAGGTTTGCCATGCATTTGTGCTTTTGGAACAGAGTCAAATGCTGTCATTGTGATTTGTGCAGATGGCATCTACTACAGATTCCTATTCAACCCCAAGGGTGGCGCATCCAAGATGTCTAAGTGCAGTTTCTAGCAATGACCAGTGACAAGCTGTGACTCTTTACAAGTGTGTGCAGTCAACACCCCACGCCTGATTGTCCCTGTTAAGCACTGGCTATGCCCCTCAAACTCCTCTGGGGCTGGAATGTTGACCTTGTGGGGAACAGGTTGGAGAGACTGCCCTGGGTGACCCTTGGTCTTAAAGCTATATGTGGCTGTTTGCTTTCTTAAGGAAGGTTTCTTATTTCCAGTATTAAAAGGAAAATCATCAAGGCAAAGTAAATATTCAAGTGGCTTTGAACAATTTGTGCCTGATTGTTGGCCTGTTATCTTTAATTCAACTGTGAAGTTTAACTTTTGATGTTCCAACTGCATCCTTTATGCTTAAGATTTGGTGGCCTCTGTATGGACTAAGGGACCAGGTTGAGACAAGGATGAACAAACTGAAATTTGTTCTTGGCAACAGATTCTGTCATTTTATTGAGTCTACAGTAGCGAAATGAACAAATGTGTAAATATTAGTTGTTATAACAAGATTTAAATAGCATAATAATAACAGCAGCTTGCCTTAGAAAAGGAGCAAGAAATTCCTACTCCAGTCTGAACATGAAGAACAAAGATACAACTGTGATAGCAAACACAGTGTAGACATTTTACCTTCTGTAAATTCAGCATTGTGATTTTTTCCATGCCTGTAGTTTTGTTTGGCTTTGTATGCATACATTCTTGTGTGTCCCTGCTTCTGTGGTGTAGCTGTTAGAACTGAAGCAAACAACAGATCTGTTACAGGAAAGGGGTCCAGATCCAGACCCCAAGAGAGGGTTCTTGGATCTTGCACAAGAAAGAATTCAGGGCGAGTCCACAGAGTAAAGGAAAGGAATAAAAGAATGGCTACTCTATAGACAGAGCATCCCCAAGGGCTGCTAGTTGTCCATTTGTTTGTTTATTTCTTGATGATGTGCTAAATGAGGGGTGGATTATTCATACCTCCCCTTTTTAGACCATATAGGGTAACTTCCTGATGCTGCCATGGCATTTGTAAACAGTCATGGTGCTGGCGAGACTGTAGCAGTGAGGATGACTAGAGGTCACTCTCTTGGCCATCTTGGTTTTGGTGGGTTTTAGCTGGCTTTTTTACTGCAGTCTGTCTTATCAACATTTATCTTGTGCTGACCTTCTGTCTCATCCTGTGACTTAGAATGCCTTAACTATCTGGAAATGCAGCCCAGCCTTATTTTACCTACCCCGTCACTCAAGATGAAGTTGCTCTGGTTCAAACGCCTCTGCCAGATCCACCCCTTGAGCAGAGGCCTTTGTGGTGTCAATAATGGGAGTTGCCAGCCTTCACAGGGGGTATGACTGGGTTTCAAGAATGAGGAAAATCTGCTTTAATTCTGAGTGAAAACTAAATTTCTCTTTTATGTGTAGGGAACAAAGTTATACATAGACTTTAAAAATTAGTCATGGTAGAAAATGTTATTTAAGTTACAGTATATGAAGAGAAACACTCAAAATCTCTTTCAACAAGTGGTACCCAAGGTGTCCTCTGGCAACACCTTTTAGTATAACAGCATAATGCCGTAATGCCTTAGTCTGTCATTTCCACTTATCTTTCTCACCATAGTTTTCTCTCCCCACCATTTATAAAAATAGTTACACACTAGCATTTTTGAGAATGAAAGGCACATAGCATTTTAAAAAATATTTGTTAACTACAATAGCTTGTGAGCTCTGTATTGTACTGTTTCAGGGATATATTTAATTTTCTTACATGCCCATTAAGGAGACTGAATTTTGTGTTTTTGATTTCAGGTTGTAAACATTTGAAATATGCATAACACCAAGTTCTCAGTTTTGCCAGTTCCATAACTGGCATCTAATCAACTAAACTTGTATGTGGATTTCCATATAAAGTATACATGTTACTTTTCTGTATACTTAGTTGTGAAATTTATTTTTTCACAATTATTTGTAACATTTATTTTAAATAAAAGTGAGGAATTTTGCTGTTGAAAAAAATGGAAGTCCAATATCAAGGTCTGTCAAAACATTATCCAGGAAATATTTGAATTTATATTCCTACATAAGAAAACTCCATAATGTAAAGAGGTTTTTGTTATTTTTTATAAATTAATTTATATATTGCAATCAGTACCCCTTAGGGACTTTACTGACTTTTCAAAATTATAGATTTTAAGAGTAAACTGAAATAAATAGTTAAATTTAAAAAATGAAGGGGTATTTACCTCATCGGCTACTTAAAGTACTATTCAAAAATTGTTAGGGTAACCAAGAGAACTAAAAGGAATAACCCAGGAAAGGCATAATTTAAGTGTAGGGTAGGGGGTAAACTGAGAATGTTCTGCTCCCAAAATGAATACACTCTTACACTAATTCTTCAGAGAGAGGCAATTAATATTAGGTGAAATTTATTTTCAAGTTAACATAGGATGTCTAGTAATACAACCACAAACATGGATTAAGCAAAACTCAGCATAATTCAGCTAAGGTACTAGTTAATTAGAAATCTTAGTAAGAGTAATATGAATTTCAAAATAAATAGGAGAGGTCCTCAGAATGAATATAATCTTTGAAGTGGCAAAATTTGTGTAACCTTTTAAATTTTCCATACTCAAGGGGAAAACTAGCTACAGCAAGGAGTGAAAGAATCCCACTCCCTGATTATATCTTTACCAACACTACCACTCTCCTTTCAATTTTAGAACAATTTCCAAAAACCTTCAGCAAATACCTTAAATATGGCAATAGGTATAGTCAGTGAAGTTTGGTGTTGAAAAAGATGTTTAAGTGTTTTGAAGAAAAGGCATTTTTTTTTTTTTTCCTTTGAGACTGAGTCTCGCTCTGTCGCCCAGGCTGGAGTGCAGTGGCGTGATCTCTGCTCACTGCAAGCTCCGCCTCCCGGGTTCATACCATTCTCCTGCCTCAGCCTCCTGAGTAGCTGGGACTACAGGCGCCCACCACCACGCCCGGCTAATGTTTTGTATTTGTAGTAGAGATGGGGTTTCACCGTGTTAGCCAGGATATTCTCAATCTCCTGACCCCGTGATCTGCCTGCCTTTGCCTCCCAAAGTGCTGGGATTACAGGCATGAAGAAAAGGCATTTATACAGTTAACCAAAGTGAACCCCAAATATAAATATCATTTAAATAAAGCAAAAACTACAAAGTAAAACAAAAAGTAAAGCATAAAACAATTATACTAGAAACATTAGTGCATTAATGACTATTTCATTTACTTAAGATGAGAGATATATATTTAATACATATAGCTATAATTTGTGCAAGGAAACAAAAATATTAGGCATATATTCTAAAGGAATACTACACTGCAATATAAAGTATATTTTTATTTCAAAAGGAGATAATAAAATAAGGCAAACAAAATATGGGGAAAATATTGCAAACAAGTATGACAAGGAGACTAAAATATGGGCATAATATGATTATCCTGTGCTTGGTGGTCTTGATCTTAACCAAGGTGTCCTTAGGTTGGTTTCCACAGGCAACATGATCTAGAGTCTAGACCAAACTCCCTAACCAGCATGCAAAGAAAAAGGAAAGCCCAAATTTTCCACTTTAGGGGCATTCCTGAGCATCCCCAAGTATCTATAATACAAAGAAAACTCCCCTTCTTCCTTAGTTTAAAAGAGAAAGCAGATGAAGAAGACAAACATTTCAATAGGAAACCTGCAATAGGACATGGGGAAACAATTCACAGAATATAATTGTCCAGTAAATATTATGAAAACATCCCACTTTACATTTAATAAGAGAAAGTAATTCTTAATTATATACCATGTTTTTTGTCTGTCAAGCTATGCACTCCCGATGCAACTACAAATTAGCAAAACCTGCCCCTGAAGCAGTTTGGCAGTAAGTGGCAAAAGTTTTAACAATGTAACTTATACTTTGACCCAACAATTCCAGTTCTAAACCTGCCCCTGAAGCAATCTGGCAGTAAGTGGCAAAAGTTTTAACAATGTAACTTATACTTTGACCCAACAATTCCAGTTCTAAACCTGCCCCTGAAGCAATCTGGCAGTAAGTGGCAAAAGTTTTAACAATGTAACTTATACTTTGACCCAACAATTCCAGTTCTAAACCTGCCCCTGAAGCAATCTGGCAGTAAGTGGCAAAAGTTTTAACAATGTAACTTATACTTTGACCCAACAATTCCAGTTCTAAGATTTTGCCCTTAAGGAATCACAAGAGATGTAAGGATGCGAAGAATGATTTATGTTCAAGAATGAAAGTTGCAGAATTCTTAAAATATAGAAAATTGGAAGCAACCAAAATGCTCAGCTATAAGTTAATAGTTACATAATTTATGGACTAGAAATGTGGTGTAATATTATACAGCTATTAAAATATTGTTTTCAGAGAATATTGAGTATTATAGGAAAATGCTCATGGCATAATTTAAATGAATAGAAATAAGTGATAAATATATAATATTATATATGTGTGTGAATGGAAGGATTGTATAAAATATTTATGATGGACATTTCTGGGTCTGGCCTTTATGAATAATTTTTTATTTTCTCCTTTATACTTTAATTGTGAGTGTTTTACTGTAAGCATGCAATCAGCTTATAACAAAAAAAGCACTAAATATTATTTGAATACTTAATAACTTCAGGAAAAGAAAAACCTGTAAAACACTATTAATACAGTTTACTTCCAAAATATATTGCATATTGACTAAGTTTTTGTTTTGTTTTAATTACAAATTTGTGCTTTAAATTTGCCTTTGTGAATTAAAATCCTCAGTTTTAGGAAGTGACATTTTAGCACATATTATTCTTTTGGGAAATTTTATCAGACCACCCTCAGCTCAAGCTAGTAGAGACTGATGGGCACATATGTTGAGTAATGTGCACTGACTTTTCACAGGAACAGAAACATTTGTAGAGATTGATAGTGCAATTCTTTTCAGACAATATACACTTTGCCTTTCTAGCCATTCACACTAAAAACAAAACAAGACCAGTTTTCTTGGTTTGATCTTTTCACTTCTTTATTTGTTTTGACCTAAAAGGCAAGCATGTCTTCTGAAGTTGTGTGTCTATAAAATGGTGCTTCAGAGTGAAATAAACATAAAGAAAATATAAATAAATAGAAAATTTTGGGGCAACTGAAAAATTCCATAGTTATATGCAGAATCCTGAGGAGAGCATTTAGTGACCTTTTATTTTGGGTTTTGCATTTTAAATATTAATATAATATTGGCTCTATCACCGTGGTTTTAAGTTTTGAGTCTCAAAGAGACTTTACTTCCTCATTCTGTTCAGGAGGCTTTGCAATAGTTTTGCTCTTTTCCATCTGTGGTACCACCACAGAAATTTACTAACCCCCAATCTGATTATGTTTCTCTTCTTTTAGGAATCTTCAGACTCTCTCTTTAACTTCAGGATAGTTATGAAGACCTTGGCATTGCTCTGTAGAATTTTCAGCCTACTTCCTTTGCCAAGCTGCCACACTTCCTTGCGCTGCTCAAGCTATGTTCCAGCTACCAACATTTTCCAAACAAGCTGGGCTCCTTCCAGCCCTGTGACTTTGTTGGCTGTTCCTTTTTTGATCAAATATGCCTGTCCCAACTTCTCTGCCTGGCAAGAAAAGCTTCATTCTCTAAGATTCATCACAGATAAATTGTATTGGTGAAACCTGGCCTGCGTCCCCAAGGTGAATTAGTTCTTCTTTCCTCTTCGCTCCCATAGCACCCTCAAGTCAGCTTCTATTATGCCATTTATTATGCTGTTATATAAGTACATAATTGTTCATTTTGGGCTGTGTCCTCCACTAGACTGTGAATTTATGAGGATAAGGACTGTTTGTGTTTCCGATTACTGGAGGTGTTCAAGTCCAGTGCTGGAACCAAAGGATGAGACCGACGGTAGTATAAACTCAGTTTTAGATGGGTGATTTGCCAAGATGACAAGGGATACTCCATTTAGTTCTAAGCAAATAGCATTTCCTTGCCTAGCTTACCATTCTCACCGGGGAAGGAGGAGAAGGAAGTTAGAATGGGGGCTGGGCAGGAAGTGAAGTTTCTGGTATTGATGTATCTCTTCCAACTTTAATCAGCAACTTTAATAAACATATTATTTTCTCCTTACTAGTTCCTGAGATTTCAGGGCTCTAATAAATGAAAAGCAGCTCTCCCTACTATAAAACATTTGAGGCAACTACTGGACTAATAATACCTAATGTTATTAAGCATTTTCTATGTGCCAAGTAGTCTTCTCAGTGCTTTACATATGTTAATTCATTTAATTCCCACAATAACTCCCATAAAATAAGTATCATCACTATCTTTATGATATAGATGTGAAAAATGCAAACATAGTTCATAAAACTTGCTTAACAATATTTTATGAATAAGTGGCAGATCTTATTCAAAGCCAGGCAAATGATCCAGATCCCTACAACTTTCTGCCAGCCATAATCAAAGATACATTGTCCTCAGAACTATTGTCTCCCTCTCACATTTTTAGCCTCTAAGCATTTAGTTATGAGGCTCAAGGTCAGCACTAACTGATCACAGGTGTTTTTTGAAGTTGTTTCCTTTCAAATTCCATGAAACATATACCGAGTTCATGTGGCCTTGTTCCCCTTTGCATTTGTCATTCATCGTACTCCTGTTACCTCTGCTCTTCTTTCCTTCACGCGTGTTTACACACTGCAGATGAATGATCTTGAAACACACAATCGGATCATGTTAAAACAGTTGCTCAATATTACCCCCACTGCTTTAAGAATAATATCCAAACATAAAATGAAAAGCCTTGCATGAGGTGGGCCCACTCTTCTAGTGTCAGGTCTGGGCTTGATAGAAGTAAAAAACAAAACAGGAAATTAGGCCATAAGGATACCCTGAGCACAGCTTCAACATGTGAGGCTCACCATAACATCTATGTCCTAAATGACCCTGAGGTCTTCAACTTCACTGGGTTCTCTCATGCTTTTACACATTGTTCCTTCCCTGACCATTTCCCCTTTCTCTAGAGTTTGCCAAAGAGACAGAACCAATAGAATATATATAAGTACTGTATATAGAAAAGTATTTATTATGAAGAATTGGCTCACATGATTATGGCAGGCGAGAATTCCCAAGATCTGCCATCTGTAAGCTAGAAAACCAGGAAAGCCAGTAGAGTTGTTCTAGTACAAGACCGAAGGCCTGAGAACCAGGGGAGATGATGGTATCTTAGTCTGCGCCGAAGACCTAAGACTCAGGAATGCTGATGTCTGAGGGCAGGAGAATCTGGATGTCCCAGCTCAACCAGAGAGAGAAAATTTGCTCTTTCTCTACCTTTTTGTTCTATTTGGGCCCTCAACAGACTGGATGATGCCCGCTGGTTTTGGTGATGGCAATCTTTCTTTTTCAGTCTGCAGATTCAAATGCTAATCTCTTCCAGAAACACCCTCACTGACACACCTAGAAATAATGTTTTACCAGCTATCCAAGTATCCCTTATTAGCCCAGTCAAATTGATGCATACATTTACCTATCACTTTCCTCTTCTTGACAAATTCTTATATATCCTAAAGTTTTGACCTAAGCCACAAAAAGCTAGACCCTAAGAGAATGACTACTTTAGACTTGGCTTAGTGTGTTTCACAGGATTGGCAGAAAGAGAAGTTGAACTCAAATGCAATTGTAAGAAAGCCTCAGCTGATCCCAGGGTATACTCGTCTCCTGTGGCTGCTGTAACAAATCCCTGCAAACTGGGTGACTTCAAACAACACACTTTTTTCTCTCAGAGTTCTAGAGGCCAGAAGCCTGAAATCAGTATCACTGAATCACAATTAAGGTGTCGCTAGAGCTATCCTCCCTGTAAAGGATAAGCCATTCCTTTCCTCTTCTGGTGGTGGTTGGCATTCTTTGGCCTGTGGCTGTATCACTCTGATCTTTGCCTTCATCCTCAAATTACCTTCTCCTTATGGGACTGCATTTAGGAACCACACTGAGAATCCGGGATCTTCTCCCAATCTCAAAACCCTTAATTTAATCATATCTGTGAAGACCCAGTTTCCATATAAAATAACATTTACAGGTTCCAGGGATTAGGAAGTAATATCTTTAGGGGGTGATTTTTCAGCTTCCCACATATGGGTAGCTCTGGAAGTCAGATGGCCTGTCATAATTACCTCGCAATTGAGTTTGCCTCTCTCCACTTTTCTCCCATACAAACTTATTTTTTTCTGTTTTTATATTATGCATACCTCTTTTAGTACTCATTCTCACTGTGTAATGATTAATATTTACATGTCTGTTTTCCCTTACTAGATTGTTAGGTCCTTAAGAGTAGGGTTCCTGATTTGTTCCTATTTGCAGCTGCCTCAGTATCTGGCAGACGGTAAGTGCTCATAAATTTTTAATGAATGAACTAATAAATGTAGCTTAATGCAGCCACTCTCTGCCTCTTCATCAATTGGTGGAGCAGATGGAACAGCTAACTGTATGAACGAAAGCCATCAAGCATGTCCAGCAAAAGTGACTGAGTGTGTATCAGGAGGCAGTAAAGTAAACAATATCTCAAGGGTCTCACAGCTGTTTCACTGCCTTTCAGCCAAGAAATGCCATGATTTACTTTCTGCTCTTGCCAAGGATGAAGAAATAAAGTCATAAACAAAAAGTGAAGGAGTGAAGAATTACTCGGCTTGGATGGACAGGTCAATCTGCTTGCCCACCTGTGGCCAAGCAAGCGTGATCAAACAATAATATACTTTCCCCTTCTATTCACATCTCATAGTCTTTATTCTTTAACAAGAATGAAGGAATCTTCAATGGGAAATGTAGTTCCACATCTAACATCACTGATAAAGTCAGTTTTATACACAGTTAATATTGAGTGTCCCCATTATCGTAGGGACTGTATAAAAATCTGCCCCAAATATAACCCCTTCTCTTTGCAGGTTGCTACATTTCAAGAGTGCTCTTGCATAATATCCGCTTCACAGGGACATGAGAGGGTTTAACAGTTAAGAATTAATGAATATAGAAACTCCTAGAACAGTACACATGGCATATACCTGATAAATGTTTTTGTTCCTTTATTTTCCTTTAACAGTTTAAGATCAGTCACAATTTACATATTCATATGGAAGATTTGGTGGAATGAGGTCAATATGGTAGTTAATATGTGTCTTATTTTGGAAGTTTTACATTTGTTAAAATAACATATGCATGTAATAAAAGTTCAGACAGTGTGAAGCAATATTAAATGAAAAGAAATTTACTTCTGTCTTCTTTCCCTAAACCTTCTCTTAACACAATTATTCTAAACAGTATGCTGCAATCTACTTTTCCCAATTTATCAGTTTTACATAGTAACTATAAACTTTGCCTACGAAAGATGAGGAATTTGGTTGACTTGTATTACTACGTCCCTCCTACTTTTGTTGTTTATATTGTTACTTAATTCTATTGGTTTCATTTCTTACTCTAAGTAATATATATGTAAATCTCCATTTCTCTTTGTCATAATATAGGTTATTCTTTGATATTTACCATTTAGATCATAAACTTACAAACTTGTAGAGCCTCAGGCCCAGTGGTTCGATGATAAACTGACTCGGTGGTGGAGGAAGCAGAGGGCTGATCTGTAGCATTTTACTATTTCTGTGGATGATTTTAAGCTACCAGCCTGACTTTGAATTCCCTTCTATAATTATAATTACCTTCAATGCTTTTTCTATGGTTTAGCTTTTAAAAGATTAATAAACTGCATTTACAAAATTATTACTATGCAAATGTTATTCAATAGAGAACCAAATATTGTGATTCCTAGCAGAGAAAGAAATGTATCTTGATGGGAAATAAAGTCAATAATAAAATAAGCTCTAACTTTCAAGTTCCAATTGTATTTTAGAAATAATTAAATCTATCAATCTGAAGAATATGCCTCTTCCAAAATTCAAAAGATAATACAATGAAACAGGAGCAACACTTAGAAAATAAACACTACTTTTACATAATTTTGATCACAGAAATATGTTTTACAAAACACTTGAAGGACATCCTGCAGTCTTAGCATTATTAAGGGTTACTACCCAAAATAGAACAGAAACACAAGATTGTTTCTCATCCATATTATATTGCCTCATAAAATACCATAAATATGGAGCTAGATTCTAAGCAAGAATTTCAGTGGTGCAAAACAAAGGGGAGACGGGCTTGTGATTTTGTATAAACATGTAAAAATCCAGGCTTTCCTAGCTGAGAAGGTATTGGCAACTGCAGACATGTTGCTTGTCCAATCATGTGTAAATACCAGGATGCACTGTTGCCTATCTTTTTTGACTCATTTTTTTCTACTGTTCTCCATCATTTGTTGGAATAATAGGAGTTTCTTCAATGATGGAAATGTTCTATTTCTTCACTGTTCAATTTTACGTATGTATGTATGTATGTATGTATCTGTCTGTCTATCTATCTATCTATCTATCTATCTATCTATCTATCTATCTGTCTGTCTGTCTATCTATGTGACGGTAGTCATGAGCCACTTGTGGCTATTGAGTACTCAAAATGCGGCTAGTGGCTGGGCGAGGTGGCTCACACCTGTAATCCCAGCACTTTGGGAGCCTGAGGCAGGTGGATCATTTGAGGTCAGGAGTTTGAGACCAGGCTGGCCAACATGGTGAAACCCCATCTCTACTAAAAATACAAAAAAAATGAGCCAGGCGTGGTGGCACACAGCTATAATCCCAGCGACTTGGGAAGCTGAGGCATGAGAATCCCTTGAACCCAGGAAGCAGAGGTTGCAGTGAGCCAAGATTGTATCACTGCACTCCAGCCTGGGTGACAGAGTGAGACCCTGTCTCAAACAAAAAAAAAAAAAAAAAAAAGAGGTGGCTATTGTGACTAGAAAGGGAACTAGCTTTATATAATTTTAACTGCACTAATTTTTTTTTTTTTTTTTTTTTTTTTAGTATTTATTGATCATTCTTGGGTGTTTCTCGGAGAGGGGGATGTGGCAGGGTCATAGGATAATAGTGGAGAGAAGGTCAGCAGATAAACACGTGAACAAAGGTCTCTGGTTTTCCTAGGCAGAGGTCCCTGTGGCCTTCCACAGTGTTTGTGTCCCTGGGTACTTGAGATTAGGGAGTGGTGATGACTCTTAACCAGCATGCTGCCTTCAAGCATCTGTTTAACAAAGCACATCTTGCACCACCCTTAATCCATTTAACCCTGAGTTGACACAGCACCAGTTTCAGAGAGCAATGGGTTGGGGGTAAGGTTATAGATTAACAGCATCCCAAGGCAGAAGAATTTTTCTTAGTACAGAACAAAATGGAGTCTCCTATGTCAACTTCTTTCTACACAGACACAGTAACAATCTGATCTCTCTTTCTTTTCCCCACATCTCCCCCCTTTCTTTTCAATGAAACCGCCATCGTCATCATGGCCCATTCTCGATGGTCGCTGTCTCTTCGGAGCTTTTGGGTACACCTCCCAGATGGGGCGGCCAGGCAGAGGCGCTCCTCACTTTCCAGACAGGGTGGTCCGGCAGAGGCGCTCCTCACTTCCCAGACTGGGCAGCCGGGCAGAGGCGCACCTTGCCTCCCAGACGGGGTGGCTGGGCAGAGGCGCTCCTCACCTCCCAGACGGGGCGGCCGGGCAGAGGCGGTCCCACCTCCCAGACGGGGTGGCTGGGCAGAGGCGCTCCTCACCTCCCAGATGGGGCGGCCGGGCAGAGGCGCCCCTCACCTCCCAGATGGGGCGACCGGGCAGAGGCGCCCACTTCCCAGATGGGGCGGCCGGGCAGAGGCGCTCCTCACTTCCCAGATGGGGTGGCCGGGCAGAGGGGCTCCCCACATCCCAGACAATGGGCGGCCGGGCAGAGACGCTCCCCACTTCCCAGACGGGGTGGCGGCTGGACAGAGGCTGTAATCTTAGCACTTTGGGAGGCCAAGGCAGGCGGCTGGAAGGTGGAGGTTGTGGCGAGCTGCGATCATGCCACTGCACTCCAGCCTGGGCAACACTGAGCATTGAGTGAGCGAGACTCAGTCTGCAATCCCGGCACCCCGGCAGGCCGAGGGGGGCAGACCACTCGAGGTCAGGAGCCGGAGACCAGCCCGGTCAACAGGGTGAAACCCCGTCTCCTCCAAAAATACAAAAACCAGTCAGGCGTGGCGGCGCGCGCCTGCAGTCCCAGGCACTGGGCAGGCTGAGGCAGGAGAACCATGGGGAGCCCGGGGCAGGGAGGCTGCAGCGAGCCGAGACCACGGCAGTACAGTCCAGCCTCGGTAATGGGAGAGGGAGAAGGGGAGGGAGAGGGGGAGGAGGAGGGGGAGGGGAGGGGGAGGGGGAGGGCTAATGTTAAATAGCCACACATAGCTAGTGAGTACATACTTGTAGTGAAGTTCCTGCAGAAGCCATGGACTAGGAAAGATAAAGATTGCACCACTGGGAACTTTATAGTCCGGTCTGAGAATGAAGCAATCTGCTCAGCTATTACTTAGGAGGTTCTTCTTACTTTGGTGGGCTGGGATACATAGGAGAAAATAAGAGTCAACAATTCTGTGACATTAAACCTGTGCTACTGGAGGCTGAATATTCTAAGCATAAAAGTCAAACGGAGTCTTTTTTATTTCACTCTCTTTATTGTTCAGTCATGATGCATTTCAGCTAAAATGCATTTAGCATTTTAGTTTATATTTGGACTATGATGTTCTTGCATATATCTCTTTATTTCTGGAGATGCTAAGTGCTTTTGCTTTTCTAGGTGAGCATAACAACTATATACCTTCAAAATATTAAGAGTTTCTAGTTGCTCTAGGTTTAATGGAATCCACTTTTCATGAAGACATTATTCTCAGAACCCTGTAAATTTTTACACTATTTTAGGCCTTTTGTTTTACCCACAAAACAGCTGGCATCTTGAGCTTTCTTGTCATATTCCTGGGTTCATTCATTCATATAGTCAATAATTATTTGTTGAATACCTACTGAATGCCAGATAGTGTCATAAACATCAGAAAATCAGCAGTGAACAAATCAACTCCTTACACTCATGAAGCTTATGTTTTAGTAGAGGGAGATAACAAGTAAACAAATAAATAAAAATAATAATTCAGGTAGTAAAAATAAAGCTGAGTAAGGAGGCTAGATACTGGTGTGAATGAAGAAAGATTTGTGACTGTTTCATATAGGTTGGTCATAGAAGGCTTTATTAGTATGATGACAGTTTGAGCAGAGGCCCAAAGGAAGAAAGAAGAAAGCCATGTGTAAATCAGATAAAGAACATGCCAAGCGAGGGAACATCAAATGTAAATGTTCCCAGATGAGACTGCTCAGGGTAATGACTTGAACTCTTTGTTCATGGACACGGTGTGTCAACCTGTCCCAATTTGTATGAATGGGAAAACACAGGCCGGATACCTTAAAGAGAGCTTTAACTCTGGGGCAGGAACACTATTATTAGAGATTTTACCTTTGCCTTGGCAAAAGGCCTTTATTCCTGACTCACTGTGTGTGTGTGTGTGTGTGTGTGTGTGTGTGTGTGTGTGTGTGTGTGTGTGTGTGTGTGTGTTGGGGTGGATAGTAGAGGGATAACTGGTCTGGCTGTTCTGTACAGTTCTCTAATTACTTAAACTTCTGCATCATGACCGAGTTGGGGGTCTTTGTCCATAGCTTCCTCTTCAACTATGGATTACTTGACTTGTGTTCTGGGCTTTTTGCTTTCTCTGTTCTGGTTTTATCAGAATAATCGATACTGCTTTCCATATTATAAAAATTCGTTAATATATCTGATCACTGATAGCCCCATTCTCAGATTGGGACTATATATGGGTTATCCTCAATATACTAACAATTTAATAGGATTTTGGAAGGAACATTAATTTATGTGCCACCTTGAAGTCTTAGGATGTGGCTGGAATATGAGGCAGTGAAGACCATACGGGACAGTCCTGAGTGAGCCATCACAGTGAGAAAGTATTAAAGAGTCAGCCTTTTATGGCTGTGTTCTGAGATCCCTACTGTGTGAATACTACAGTGACTGGACTGTTATAGTTTTGTTGTAAGTATAACACTTAAAAGGATTGCTAAGGATTCGTGTTGTGAGACTGCAAGGCAGGAGCCTCACACAGTGAGTAGCTTATAGAGGGTTCATAGGAAGGTGAGAGAATAGTCAAGATTTGAAATGCAGACACTAGTAATTATGGTTCAGTGTTATCAATATCAGCATGAATTGGATAAATCCTTCAAAATATAAAGATATCTCAAGTGAGAGAACATGACCTAAGAGAAGTCCTAGGTGTGTAGCTTAAAAAGATTATGTTTCAAAGCCTTCTACTTACTTTTCCTAAGAGGGGAAATCTTGAGGCGGGCTAGCCTAGTGGTTAAAAGCGAATACTCTAGAACTGGATTTCTAGGGTTTGAAATCCATCTGTTCAGTACAACAGCTTATTAAGTAAGTGGTAGCCTGTAGGCAGGCCTGGAGGCCAGAAGTAGTCCTCAGGGATTTTAGCTCAACTCTACGAATGTGTACTGATTATCATTAGGTTGCACTTCAAGAGCTGGTCTCTGAGGACAGAGACACAGGGAATGTATTTTCCTAAATGTGGGGTGCTTACAGCTGGATAGAGAGATTGTCACATAAAGAAATGATTATGAGTAAAACCAGCAACAGAAGCACGGATAAGTCACAGAAGTAATATAGCAGGGAGGGTAATTGACAGCAGAGCCAGGGCAGGTTGTCAAGAGGATCAGCACCCATGGTCATGATACTGAAGAATGAGTAGGATCCTTCCCGTGGGACCTAGCAGGCAACTAATCCAGACTAATGTGCTTATCTCCAGGTGTTTTTGTATGGTTATCTTAGTATGAAGAGATTTAGGGGCCAGACTGCCATATCCTGGGTAACAGTTGCTCTAGTCCATTGAGACCCCTGTACCTTTTCAATGTTTTGCACATGAAATACTTTCTTAGCTATATCCTCTGCATTTTTACAGGCTGTAAAATTATCCTGTCACCCATAGCACATCCTGTAGTGGAGGTAGGTGGTATTTACGTTTCTGAATTGTTGGTATTTTTATTTATTTACTTGTTTTTCTGTTTACCAGGAACTGGTGGTTGTGGAGGTAAAGCCAGCTAATCCCTGATAAGAATGGGCTGTTGGGAAGTGATAATATTATTTTGCAGTTAAAAAGGGAGGGGCACCACAAAGTGCTTAGTCTTGGGAATAGCTGACAAATACATTTTCCAAATCAAAAAGCTCTGCATTCCATTTTTAAGAGAGAAATTGAAATGGAAGGCATGATTTCAGTTACAAGCTCACTTAAAACTAAAAAATTTTCCTTTGCAATAAACTTAGTCCTACTCAAAACTGGAAAGTGATTATTTCTGAAGACAGGAAAAGAAGAGAGCATTTCATTTTAAAATGAGTATTGATTTTTTTTTTCTTATTAGATCAAAACATGCACACTGTGGACAACAGAGAATTCAAGAGTAAGGGAGACTATCTAGTGATCTCATCTTTCTGGGTTAGTTACAAAGATAACATTGTGGAATATTTCTTTAGAGCCTTTCTCCTATCTATATGACATTACATTTGGAAGGTAAAATTATTTAAACCACTTGTCATATTGCAGTATTACAAAAGAATCCAATTCTAATACTCACAAGCTTTCTTATACTTTCTAGTTCACATGCAGAAATTATCTGCCCTTTTTGGATTTGCTAAGGAGGACCCAGAAGCTACTTTCTCTCTAACTTTCGTCACTGTTTTCCAAGCTCCTTTCTTCCTCCCTCCCTTCTGAGCCTGGGATCGTCACATTATTCTGCATCTGTCAGGCTTCTGTCTTCGGGTCCTATGTTGCCTCAGTTGAGTGGAAACTCACTCCCGACTTTTTTCATAAAATAAAATTAATAATAAATAATTGATATTTTAACTTGGCCCAATTAGCCTCTCGTCAAAATATTAGTACAATTTATGAGAACAATAACATAAAGGGCTTTTAGATCTCTATATTCCACAGATATATAATACTATTTAACTCTGGGATAACCTTGCACTTTTAATTGAAGGAACAAGTGAATACTCACAGTGGCACATCACCTTGTGAAGAAATCAAAGTAGAAAAGGAAAAATGGCAAGAACTTGGAAATTCAAATAAGATAATTCTAGGGAAGCTGCAAAGGCTTCAAATAAAAACTCTTCATTCAATTACTGAGCAAAACATTATTCACACTATTGTGATTAATGTAACCTTAAGTATGGCATTCCTCAGAGAATTCATCTTCAAAACAAATCATAATGGAAGGTTGTTGTAACTGGAAATTGTCACTTTTTTACTTCTAAGTTTGTCAAATTATAGTCAAGCGTGATGCTTCTAGATGGTGCTTAACAAATAGTTTGTGTTCAGCAAGTATTTGAGCAAATGATGAATTAATGAATGAGTGAATTAATTAAGTAATACTGAATTGGTATTGGAACTGTTTGATCAATTGTAGGTTGTAGTCTGTAAGGGAAAATAATTACATTGATCTGTTAAGTTTGCTACAGGTGTCAGCAGATGACTCTGTGTGTTGAGGACCATATCAAGATATCACATTGTTGTACTTCTAGCCTAGGACAATGCCAGGCGCAGAGTAGCTACCCAATAAATAAGATTTGGATGAATCTGAAATGGATGAATAATGAACTGTAACACAGAAGGGTGGGCATGCACTCACATGTATGTATTAGTGTGTGAGTTTTCAGAAATATCGGTTATAAGGCAACAAGGAACAATTTTCTATACCTAGTGAGTAATTGTCATTCCATCCATGTACATCGGTTTGCTAGGTCTACTCACACATACAACAGGCTTCACCCTGGTGTTTCTCAGATGGTCCACATATCTTCTGCTGGAACCTGAGAGAATTAATCAGATCACTTGGGGAATATTGACAGATTTCACCAAAAAGCAGAAAGCGTTCATTGTCTATTTCTTTTTTAAAATTTATTTCTTTTTTTTAAAAAAGGGATGCATGTGCAGAATGTGCAGGTTGTTACATAGGTATATATGTGCATGGTGGTTTGCTGCACTTATTGACCAGTCCTCTAAGTTCCCTCTACTTACCCCTACTCCCCAACACGCCATGGTGTATGTTATTCCCCTCTCTGTGTCCACGTGTTCTCAATGTTCAGCTCCCACTTATGAGTGAGAATGTGCAAGTGTTTGGTTTTCTATTCCTGTGTTAGTTTGCTGAGGATGATGGCTTCCAGCTTCATCCATGTCCCTGCAAATGACATGATCTCATTACTTTTTACGGCTGCATAGTATTCCATGGTGCATATGTAGCATATTTTCTTTGTCCAGTCTATTATTGATGGGCATTTGGGTTGGTTCCATGTCTTTGCTATTGTAAATAGTGCTGCAATAAACATATGTGTGCATGTTTCTTTATAGTAGAATGACTTAAAGTCCTTTAGGTATATACCCAGTAATGGGATTGCTGGGTCAAAGGGTATTTCTGGTTCTAGATCCTTGAGGAATAGCCACACTGTCTTCCACAATGGTTGAAATAATTTACATTCCCACCAACAGTGTAAAATCATTCCTATTTCTCCACTGCCTCGCCAGCATCTATTGTTTCCTGACTTTTTAATAATTGCCATTCTGACTGGTGTGAGATGGTATCTCATTGTGCTTTTCATTTGCATTTATCAAATGATCAGTGATGTTGAACTTTTTTTCATACGTTTGTTGGCTGCATAAATGTCTTCTTTTGAGAAGTGTCTGTTCATATCCTTTGCTCACATTTTGCTGAGGATGTTGGTTTTTTTTTTCTTATAAATATGTTTAAGTTCCTTGTAAATTCTGGACACTAGACCTTTGTCAGATAGGTAGTTTGCAAAATTTTTTTTCCATTCTGTAGGTTGCCTGATCCCTCTGATGATAGTTTCTTTTGCTGTGCAGAAGCTCTTTAGTTTAATTAGATCCCAGTTGTCAATTTTGGCTTTTGTTGCAATTGATTTTGGCGTCTTTGTCATGAAGGATTTGCCTGTGCCTATGTCCTGAATGGTATTGCCTAGGTTTTCCTCTAGGGATTTTATGGTTTTGGATTTATATTTAAGTCTTTAATCCATCTTGAGTTAATTTTTGTATAAGGTGTAGGAAGGGATCCAGTTTCAGTTTTCTGCATATGGCTAGCCAGTTTTCCCAGCACCATTCACTGAATAGGAGCTCCTTTCCCAATTGCTTGTTTTTGTTAGGTTTGTTGAAGATCAGATGGTTCTAGATGTGTGGTGTTATTTCTGAGGCCTCTGTTCTGCTCCATTCGTCTATATGTCTGTTTTTGTACCAGTACCATGATGTTTTGGTTACTGTAGCCTTGTAGTATAATTTGAAGTCTGGTAGCATGATGCCTCCAGCTTCGTTCTTTTTGCTTAGGATTGTCTTGGCTGTACAGGATCTTCTTTGATTCCATATAAAATTTAAAATAGTTATTTTTAATTCTGTGAAGAATGTCAGTGGTAGTTTGATGGGAATAGCAGTGAATCTATAAATTAGTTTGGGCAGTGTGGCCATTTTCATGACATGGATTCTTCTTATCCATAAGCATGGTTTTTTTTTTTTTTTTTTTCCATTTGTTTGTGTCCTCTCCTATTTCCTTGAGCAGTGGTTTGTAATTCTCCTTGAAGAGGTCCTACACATCCCTTGTTAGCTGTATTCCTAGATATTTTATTCTCTTTGTAGCAAGTGTGAATGGGAGTTCGTTCATGATTTGGCTGTCTCCTTGCCTATTGTTAGCATAAAGGAATGCTTGTGATTTTTGCACATTGATTTTGTATCCTGAGACTTTGCTGATGTTGCTTATCAGCTCAAGAAGTTTTTGGGCTGAGATGATGGGGTTTTATAAATATAAAATCATGTCATCTGCAGAGACAACTTGACTTTTTCTCTTCCTATTTGAATACCCTTTATTTCTTTCTCTTGCCTGGTTGTCCTGGCCAGAACTTCCAATACTATATTGAATAGGAGTGGTGAGAGAGGGCATCCTTGTCTTGTACCGGTTTTCAAAGGGAATGCTTCCAGCTTTTGCCCCTTCAATATGATATTGACTGTGGGTTTGTTATAAATAGCTCTTATTATTTTGAGATATGTTCCATCAATACCTAGTTTATTGAGAGTTTTTAACATGAAGGGGTGTTGAATTTTATCGAAGGCCTTTTTTGCAACTATTGAGATAATCATGTGGTTTTTGTCTTTGGCTCTGTTTATGTGATGGATTATGTTTACTGATTTGCGTATGTTGAACCAGGCTTCCTTCCCAGGGATGAAGCCAACATGATTGTGGTGGATAAGCTTTTTGATGTGCTGCTGGATTCAGTTTGCCAGTATTTTATTGAGGATTTTCCCATCGATGTTCATCAGGGATATTGGTCTGGAATTTTCTTTTTTGTGTGTGTCTCTTCCTGGTTTTGGTATCAGGATGATGTGGGCTTCATAAAAAGAGTTAGGGAGGAATCCCTTCTTTTTAATTGTTTGGAATAGTTTCAGAAGGAATGGTACCAGTTCCTTTTTGTATTTTAGATAGAATTAAGCTGTGAATCCGTCTGGTCCTGGGCTTTTTTTGGTTGATAGGCTATTAATTACCGCCTCAATTTCAGAGCTTATTATTGTTTTATTCAGGGATTAGACTTATTCCTGTTTTAGTCTTGGGAAGGTGTATGGGTCCAGGAATGTATCAATTTCTTCTAGATTTTCTAGATTTACTTAGGGGTGTTTATAGTATTCTCAGATGGTAGTTTGTATTTCTGTGGGGTCAGTAGTGATATCGTCTTTATATTCCTTTGTTTTTTTTTTTTTTTATTTGCTTTGAGACGGAGTCTCCCTCTATTGCCCAGGCTGGAGTGCAGTAGCACAATCTCGGCTCACTGCAACCTCCGCCTCCTGGGTTCAAGTGATTCTCCTGCCTCAGCCTCCCAAGTAGCTGGGACTACAGGCTTGTGCCACCATGCCCAGCTAGTTTTTTCTTTTGTATTTTTAGTAGAAATGGGGTTTCACCATATTGGCCAGGCTGGTCTCAAACTCCTGACCTCGTGATCCACCCACCTTGGCCTCCCAAAGTGCTGGGATTACAGGTGTGAGCCACCACACCCGGCCTCCCTTTATCATTTTTTACCGTGTCTATTTGATCCTTCTCTCTTCTTCTTTATAAGTCTAGCTAGTGGTCTATGTAGTTTGCCAATTTTTTCAAAAAATTAGCTCCTGTATTCATTTATTTTTTTTTTTGGAGGGTTTTTTGTGTCTATATCTCCATCAATTCTTCTCTGATCTTAGTTATTTCTTGTCTTCTGCTAGCTTTCGGATTAGTTTGCTCTTGCCTCTCTAGGTCTTTTAATTGTGATGTTAGGGTGTTGATTTGAGATCTTTCTAGCTGTCTGATGTGGGCATTTAGTGCTATAAATATCCCTCTAAACATTGCTTTAGCTGTGTCCCAGAGATTCTGGCACATTTTCTCTTTGTTCTCATTGGTTTCAAAGAACTTCTTGATTTCTGCCATAATTGCATTATTTGTCCAGAAGTCATTCAGGAGCAGTTTGTTCAATTTTCATGAAATTGTGTGGTTTTGAGTGAGTTTCTTAATCCTTAGTTCTAATTTGATTGCACTGTGGTCTGAGAGACTGTTATGATTTCAGTTCTTTTGCATTTGCTGAGGAGTGTTTTTCTTCTAATTATGTGGTTGATTTTAGAATAAGTGCCATGTGGCACTGAGAAGACTGTACATTCTGTTGACTTGGGGTAGAGAGTTCTGTACACATCTGCTAGGTCTACTTGATCCAGAGCTGAATTCCATTCCTGAATATCCTTGTTAATTTTCTGTCTTGTTGATCTGCCTAATACTGACAGTGGGTTGTTAAAGTCTCCCATTATTGTTGTGTGAGATTCTAAGTCTCTTTGCAGGTCTCTGAGAACTTGTTTTATGAATCTGGGTGCTCCTGTAATGGGTGCATATATATTTAGAATAGTTAGATCTTCTTGTTGAATTGTTCTCTTTACCGTTATATAAAGCCCTTCTTTGTCTTTTTTTATTTTTGTTGGTTTAAAGCCTGCTTTGTCAGATACTAGGATTGCAACCCCTGCTTTTTGTTTGTTTGTTTGTTTGTTTGCTTTCCATTTCCTTGGTAAACTTTCCTCCATCCCTTTATTTTGAGCCTGTGTGTGTCTCTGCATGTAAGATGTGTCTCCCGAATACAGCACACTGATAGGTCTTGACTCCTTATCCAATTTCCCACTCTGTGTCTTTTAATTGGGGCATTTAGCCCATTTACATTTAAGGTTAGTATTGTTATGTGTGAGTTTGATCCTGTCATCATGATGCCGTTTGGTTCTTTTGCAAACTAGTTGATGCAGTTTCTTCATAGTGTCATTGGTCTTTATATTTTGGTATGTTTTTGCAGTGGCTGGTACCAGTTTTTCCTTTCTATGTGTAGTGCTTCTTTCAGGAGCTCTTGCAGAGCAGGCCTGGTGGTAAAGAAATTCCTCAGCATTTGCTTGTCTGGAAAGGATTTTATTTCTCCTTTGCTTATAAAGCTTAGTTTGTCTGGGTATGAAATTCTGGGTTGAAAATTCTTTTCTTTAAGAATATTGAATATTGGATCCCAATGTCTTCTGGCTTGTAGAGTTTCTACTGAGAGTTTCGCTGTTAGTCTGATGGGCTTCCCTGCTTTGTAGGTGACCTGGCTTTTTCTCTGGCTGCCCTTAACAGTTTTTCCTTCATTTCAAGCTTGGAGAATCTGGTTATTATGTATCTTGGGGTTGATCTTCTCATGGATTATCTTAATGATGTTCTCTGTATTTCCTGAATTTGCATGTTGCCCTGTCTTGGTAGGTTGGGGAAGTTATCCTGTATAATATCCTGAAGGGTGTCTTCCAGCTTGTTTCCATTCTCCCCATCTCCTTCTGGTACTCCAGTCAATTGCAGGTTCGGTCTTTTTATGAAGTCCCCATATTTCTTGGAGGCTTTGTTCATTCTTTTTCATTCTTTTTTTCTATTCTTGTCTGCATGTCTTATTTGAGTAAGGTGGTCTTCAAACTCTGATAGCCTTTCTTCTTCTTGGTCGATTCAGCTGTTAATACCTGTGTATGCTTCACGAAGTTCTCATACTGTGTTTTTCAGCTCCATTGGGTCATTTATGTTCCTCTCTAAACTTGTTATTCTATTAGCAATTGTTCTAACCTCTTATCAAGGTTCTTAGCTTCTTTGCATTGGGTTAGAACATGCTCCTTTAGCTCATGATAGTTTTTTATTACCCACCCTCTGACACCTACTTCTGTCAATTCATCCATCTGATCCTCTGTCCATCGAGTTCTGTGCCCTTGATGGAGAGATGTTGCGATCATTTGAAGGAGAAGAGGCACTCTGGCCTTTTGGGTTTTCAGCATTTTTTGTTGTTGTTGTTGATTCTTTCTCATCTTATGAGTTTGTCTAGTTTGGTCTTTGAGGCTGCTGATCCTTAGATGGGGTTTTTGTGGGGGCCTTTTTGTTGTTTTTGTTGATGCTGTTGTCACTTTCCACTTGTTTTTTTTTTCTTTCAATAGTCCAGTCCCTCTTCTGTAGGGCTTTTGCTGTTTCCTGGGGGTTCACTTCAGGCCTTATTCATCTGATTCATTTCCATGCCTGGAGATGTCATTCAAGGAGGCTGGAGATCAGCAAAGATGGGTGCCTGATCCTTCTTCAGAGACCTCTGACCTTGAAGGCACCAACCTGATGCCACTAGGATCGCTCCTGTATAGGGTGTCTGACAGCCCCCGTTGGAGGTTCTTACCCAATTGGGTGGCAGGACTCGTTTAATGAAGCACTTTGTTCCTTGGTGGAGAGGGTGTGTTTCGCTGGAGGGAAACCCACTCATCTGAACTGCCCGGATTCCTCAGAACTACCAGGAGGAGAGGCTAAGTCTGCTGGTCCACAGAGACTGCAGCCACCCCTTCCGCTAGGGGTTCAGGCCCAGGGAGATCCAAATTCTGTTCCCGAGCCTCTGACTGGAATTATTATAGGATCCTGCAGGGAAGCCCCCACCACTGAGGAAGGATGGGTTGGGGATAAGCCTGAAGAGGCACTCTGGCTGCAGACTTCCACCGCTGGTATGTTGGGCTGTGGGGACAAGTCTTGGGACCAGGCCATCCAGCCTCCCTTGTTCCCAGCAGGGGAAAAGCACAGCCTGGAGCTATAGAAATGAGTGCTGCCCTTCCCCCGCCCAGGGAGCTTATCTTGTTAGGCAGTTGCCAGTCCCAGTGTTGGCTGCTGACCCTCCCCGAAGGAGCTCAAAAGGCTTAGACAGCAGGCAGCCACAGCAGGTGCTATGGCTCCCTCCCTGAAGGAGTTTGGTAGGCTTAAGCAGATTCCAGCTGAGAGGCTGTAAGAATCTGCATGTTCCAGGGTTGGGACGCTAGGCTCTGGTGGCATGGGTTCGTGAGTGGGATCTTCTGATCCGTGGGTTGCACAGTTCTGTGGAAAAAGCACAGTTTCCTCAGCTAGGTAGTGCGCTCACTCACTGCCTCCCTTGACTGGGGGGAGGGGATTCCCCTTCCCCGTGTGGCTCTCAGGTGGGCCGCTGCACCACACTGCTTTCCCTTCTCTCCATGGGTAACGCCAGTCTTCCAGTCAATTTTGATGAGAGAATTTGGATACCTTGGTTGCCAGTGAAGGATTCACATGCTTACCATGTTTTTTTCTGATGGGAGCCTCCAAACGTCGTGGCTTCTAGTCGGCCATCTTGGTACCGCCCTCCTTATTGTTTATTTCTTAAGAGAGTTTCACCTTGTAAAATTCAAAATTTGAGAAAGAAAACATGCAAGAAGTAGTATTTGCTTTTCTTTTTTATATTCTTCCAAATCTACTGCATTGAACAATAGGCTCAAGAGATAATACACATTGGTATTTAAATAAGTTCATTCTTGCACTGTTATAAAGAAATATCTGAGACAGGGTAATTTATAAAGAAAAGAGGTTTAATTGGCTCACGGCTCTGCAGGCTGTACAGGAAGCATGATGCTGGCATCTCCTTAGCTTCTGGGGAGGCCTCAGGAAACTTTTTTTTTTTTTTTTTGAGACGGAGTCTCACTGTGTTGCCCAGGGTGGAGTGCAGTGGCGCGATCTCAGCTCACTGCAAGCTCCACCTCCTGGGTTCACGCCATTCTCCTGCCTCAGCATCCCACGTAGCTGGGACTACAGGCACTCGCCACCATGCCTGGCTAATTTTTTTTGTATTTTTAGTAGAGACGGGGTTTCACCGTGTTAGACAGGATGGTCTCGATCTTCTGACCTCGTGATCCATCCGCCTCAGCCTCCCAAAGTGCTGGGATTACAGGCATGAGCCACCTCGCCCGGCCAGGAAACTTTAAATCATTGTGGAAGGTGAAGGGGAAGCAGGCATGTCTTACATGGCTGGAGCAGGAGGAAGAGGGGTTGGATAGTTGCTACACACTTTTTAACAACCAGATCTTGTGAGAATTCTGTCAGGAGAACAGCAGTGGTGGGATGGTGCTAAACCATTCATGAGAAACCACCACCATGATCCAATCACCTCCCGCCAAGCCTCATCTCTTAACATTGGGGATCACAATTGAACATGAGATTTGGGTGGGGACACAGATCCAAACCCTATCAGTGTTACTTTCACTTTATAAATTGTTCTTTACAAAAATCTATGTGGTCAGTATTAAATCTAATTTTTATAGTTGTGAAAATTGGAATTTATTTAAATCAATGCTTCTCAAACTTTAATGTGCACAGGAGTCACAGAAATCTTGATAAAATGTAGTTTCTGATTCAACAGGCTCATCAATCTTTTCAGAGCTCCCCAGAATGTCAAACGGCCATTTGCCAAGCTAAGTTCAAGACACTACCTCTTCAAAGAGACCTTCCTTAATTATTTCCTGTCTGTGCTAATACAGCACCTGTGTTTATCTATATCTTAGCATTGTTAATACCGTATTACTTATTTGTGTGAGCCATTTTAGACTGTGAGAAGTTTGAGGATAGAGATTGTGTCTTGACCTCTGAGTAATCATTATCAAGGATTGTGCCTGGAAGAGCCTGGCAGCACAATTAACTTTTGCTAATGAGTGATGTTATAGAAGGGCCACTTTCTTGCTGAATTAGTCTGTGGCTTTCTTTTAGTGTCCCTGGACCAGAAGTGCTTGTTCCCAGGACTCTGTTCTGTGAAATGTGTGTTTTCGGGCAAGTTATCATGTACTTGAAATATCTTTTGTGAACAAGCTAGTTTAGTCCACAGATAATTCACAGATCACCTTCACGGTTGTTCATATATTAAAATTATAATAACTCATAAAGCAGTCGTGGTACCTCCACATATTTCCTATTCAGGGCCTGATCATGTAGCCCTAGGTATGGGGTGCCACCTATGTCTAAAGTTTGGTCTTGCAGAACCCAAAGCTTAAAGTAGGACTGGGGGATAGTGCCACACAGTGTAATGACCAAGCCTGCACTAGCATAAGCATCTCTGAGAGTGTGTTGAAAATTCAAATTTAAAGACCCTTCTTTAGGTGTACTAGATCAGGGTCACCGGAGGTGACATAGGAACCTGTGTTTTAATGAGTTCTCCAGGTAGTTTTTATATATAATATAAAATAATATATATAATATTAATATATGGCCGGGCGCAGTGGGTCACGCCTGTAATCCCAGCACTTTGGGAGGCCGAGGCGGGTGGCTCACAAGGTCAGGAGATCGAGACCATTCTGGCTAACATGGTGAAACCCCGTCTCTACTAAAAATACAAAAAATTAGCCAGGCGTGGTGGCGGGTGCCTGTAGTCCCAGCTACTCGGGAGGCTGAGGCAGGAGAATGGCATGAACCCGGGAGGCGGAGACTGCAGTGAGCTGAGATCGCACCACTGCACTCCAGCCTGGGTGACAGAGCAAGACTCCATCTCAAAAAAAAAAAAAAAAAAAAAAATATATATATATATATACACACACACACACATTTATATGGCTAATATTATATTAATATTATATAATATGTATTATATATTATATACAATAATATAATATATATTATATAATATGTATTATATATAATATATAATAATATATATTTAATATAATAAGAAAACCATTAATAGAGAGTATAGTAATGTCTGAACCAGAGTTTCCTAAATCCATATAGTATGATAGGCATGAATATACTTTCAGAAACAATGCAATGCAATATTCAAAATAGTTTCTTGGAAAAATTTGAACACAGTATCACCATACCCACATTAATGTCAGAATAGATCCTGCAGAGACTGTTTTTAGAATAATTTACTACCTAGCAATAGTTGTAAAAATGTGAGATTGTACTGCAGAAACCACAATATTTGATTCTCATAGAGCATTGGATCGCAACCTTGACAGCACTTAAAAATTACCTGGAGTGTTTGCAATAGAACTCATTCCTGGTTCTTACCTCCCAGAGATTCTGATTTAACTGATCTGGCATAGAGCCCAGATTTGGGGATTTAAAAAAAAACGCTCTCTAGGTGATTTTAATATGCAGGCAAGGTTGAGATCCTTTGATTTAGATTTAGAGTGATCATCTCATCTTCAATATGACTCCCAGCAGATAGCCAGGTATAGTTGTGTCCACTGAGACCACAATACCAAATTCCAAGATAAATTCCAGAAATCCCCTCTCCATGACTCAAACCTCAGAACGCAATATTACAGGATTTTTCATGAAATTTTGTTTGGGATTATAAAAACTTTGGTATTGAGATAAAATACATAAATCAAGTCTCAGCCTGGGTTTCTGGTATTTTCCTATAGTAAAAATTGGCCTTGAATCTCTTTTTTATGGGGGATAGGAGATAGAGAAAGGGTAATGTTTTGGTACAGTGTTTTCCATCTTCCATTAGTAGATCACGAAGTCACTTTACTGGGTCATGACCAGCATTGTTTTAAATGAAGTAAAACAGAACATGAGAAAAAAATAGAGAATATAGAAGTGCATCACAGTTATAAGAATAATTATTACTTCATAAAATTTTAGTCTCAGTTATATGTGCTATACATACAAGTATGTGGCTACTTTATTACTATGTAAAATGTATTTCTTAGTATGAGTCATGGTAAAAACTTTGTATGTCAACACTTCAGAGGACATGGAATATTTAAAATGCAAGGGCTCAAAGAGCAGTGGTGGTATGAAGGAATGAGTACTGGACTTGGTGTGAATATCTATGCTCCAATTTTGGTTCTGCCATTGACTTTCAGCTTCTAATTATACACCTGCAAAGTAAGAGTGATAGTATTCTCTTCCTTGGCTAACTCAGAGGATTGTTTTAGATACTAAATTGTCTTGCAAATATTTACTATTTATCTTCTATATATCAAACTATTCTAAGCACTGAAGATGTAAGACAAGACACAGTTTGGCAATGTGAAGGGAAATTTTACTTTTTGTTGCTGCAAAAATAGAGTACCCATTCATTCCATTCACTCCGTGACCCTTATTGTCTCATTGCTTTCTTCTTTACATCACCTTAGAAAAGGAAAGTCAAAATCCCAGGGAAAGCAAAAAAAAAAAAAAAAAAAAAAAACTTATTTAGGTTTGTTGTAAAGGTGTGATTTTTTTTCAAACTCAGGGCCAAGATATGGACTTGAAGTCTGATATAACTTTGAATTATAGGACCTGGGCTTTTTGAGAGATTACAGGCTTCCTTGAGATGCATTTCAAAAACTTGGCTTGGAATATCAATAGTAAAAGACGAAATGACTTGCTACTACTATATTTTGTAATGTAAGAGGTACTTCTCTCGCATGGAAGGTGGTGAAGTTTAACTGAAGAGATACAATGATATAGGAAACTGACATAGAAAAGCAATACAAGTAGATGCTGGTATGGTTCTATGAGAAGTGAAGTCCTATGTTTTACTATAATTCCTGCATCAAGCATGAATGAGAGAATTAGCAACCTGAGAAAATAAGTCCAAGTATGTGCTTCACCTTTCAAATGGTGGCCAGGGCAAAATTCCAACTCCATGGAGAAGCTTCATGAAGTGCTGAAAGATGGAGTATCAGCTGAGTCAGCAACTTAAATGGATGGGTCTGAGAGCAGTTTCAGGGAATATTAAACACCTGGGTATGGCAAATGGGCAAACATTCAAAAGTTTTCTGTACCTCTCAGACGGGAACAGAAATGTCTGAGAGGGGGCAAATGTGCAGCAAGTATCCCCAGGGCTGGGGTGAGGATGCATAGATCTGGTGAATAAACATACTGACAAATCCAAAATTATTTAGCAGACACCAACATGGGAGGTGCAGGAGCGGGTGCATGGGGAATAGGGAAGACACCTCAGTCTAAGATGTAAAGGACACGGAATGACAATAGAGTACCTCTTTTTCCCTTTGTCATGATACATGTAAGCCCACTGCATTGGGGATGGCACCCAGAAAGAGAGAGAGAGAGGTGGGAGCATAAAACGTAGACTTGACTGAGCTCAAATGCTAAACGTATTGGGTTAAAATTCTATATTTACTCAAAAAAATCTAAGAAAATCTGGAAATGGTCAGGTATACCTGGTTAAATTTAATAAAGAGAAACACACTGGCAAAAAAAATGTTTGTTTAGCATACCTGCTGAGGATATAAAATGAGCATACCCCTTGGCCTTGAGGAACGCGTAGTGTGATAACAAAACCACAATTAATTAATTAAATGTTGAATGTACACAATTAAGGTAGGCATCTCAAATTCTTTTTGTTAGGGCGGAGTATGAACAAAAGAATATATTATTTTATTACTGTTGATGTTACTATAGCAAATACTTGCCTCTGCACCAGTAAGGCTACTAAAAAGGAAGAGAAGAACTTGTGGAAAAAGTGGAGATCTTTGCTCTTTTTACTTATGTCTGTCTTCTATGCAGGGAATAGAATTTACTGGAGCTGACAATAAATGAGGTTTGTATAAGCTTTGAGTCAATGCAAATAATCTGATTGTCAGACTCACATAAACCAGAGATTTTTCAGAGTATCAAACATTACCAATAATTTCAAGAATATGGGCATTCAAGAGGCTAAGACAAAACTGGGAGATTTCTGGGACTCTGAGGACTATGCCCCAGGTCTTCCTTCTGCACTGGACACGTAGTCTCTGGCTCAGAGTAGACAAGGTCTGTGAGTAAGATACATAGGTTATTGAATCATACAGTGGGAAGCAGTTATTAATTATTTACAAAACATTCTATGAAGTGTCTTTAAAAAGTTCTTGGGAAATGTGTATTATGAAAAATCTATGCATCAATTGCTAAAAATTGTTTGCACCATAATAAATTAGTATTAACTTTTTATGACATGTCTGAACAAGATCTATTTTGAGGCACCGAGAAAAATAAGACATCAGTCTGGAAAGAGCCCCTATCAGAGCTAAAATTGAGGGAAAAACAAACATCAAATTTATGGTGAAGCTTGGGTGGAAGAATGATGAAATCATTAATGCTCTATGAAGGGTTTATGGGGACAATGCCCCAAAGGAATCAGCAGTTTACAAGTGGATAATTCATTTTAAGAAGGAATGAGATGATGTCAAAGATGGAACCTGCAGCAGGTTTCATCTGCTGACCTGACCATCTACATCAATTTTCAAGAAAAAAATTCATTTTGTTCATGGCCTAATTGAAGAGGATCAAAAATTAATAGCAAAAGAATAGTCATCACTGTAGACATCTCAATGGTTCAGCTTGCCCAATTCTGACTGAAAAATTAAAGTTGAGCAAACTTTAATAATCCGTGAGTTCCAAAATCATTGTCCCCAGGTGAGCTGCAGATGACAGCAGAGCTTTCTTTAAAAAAAAAAAAGTATATATTTTTTATTTCAATAGCTTTTAGGGTACAAATGGTTTTTGGTTACATGGATGAATCGTATAGATGAGGTTTGAGATTTTAGTGTACCTGTCATCCAGGTAGTTTACATTATATCCAATATGTAGTTTTTTCTCCCTCTATCCTCCAAATCCTCCCCTTTCTGAGTATTCATAATTCATTATATCACTCTGTATGCCCTTGCATACCCATAGTTTAGCTCTCATTTATAAGTGAAAATATATGATATTTGATTTTTCCATTCCTGAGTTACTTCACTTAGAATAATGGCCTCCAGCTCCTTTCAAGGGAAATTTTAAACAAGGGGGATCAAGACCATGAAGGATTTCTTCAAAGAATTTTACGGGGAGTTGAAACGTGGCATTAGAACAAAGCACAGTTAAAGCAATTGCTACCAAGGGGTGATGGAAGTGGTCCAGTCAAAGCAAAAGCAACTGGTCAAAAGATCATGGCAACAGATTTTTGGGGATGCTCAAGGCATTTTGCTTGTTCACCTTCTGGAGGGCAAAAGAATAGTAACATCTGCTTATAATGACAGGATTTTGAGAAAGTTAGCCAAAGTTTTAGCAGGAAACCCCTGAGAAAGCTTCACCAGAGAGTCCCACTTCACTACAACAATGTTCCTGCTCATTCCTTTCATCAAACAAAGACAATTTTGCAAGAGTTTCAATGGGAAATCATTAGGCATCCACCTTACAGTCTTGATTTTGGTCCTCTGACTTTTAGTTTCCTAATCTTAAAAAATCTTTAAGAGGCACTCAGCTTTCTTTAGTTAATAATGTAAAGACTGCATTGACTTGGTTACTTTCACAGGACCCTCAATTCTTTAGGAATGTAGTAAGTGGCTGGTTTCATTGCTTACAAAAATATTGATGGCGCTTATGTTGAGGAATAAAGTTTATATACACTTTTTATATTTAGCTTTTAATTTCATTTTTTCATGAACTTTTTGACGTTTCCTCATTTTATTTACCTCAGCTTGCATGCCATTTTCCAAGGGGTTGGGGGGTCATGCTAATAAACCCAGAGATTCTGGGTTTAATTTCTGTAGTACATAACCAGAGACATCCTGTTAAGAATGCCCAATAGTTAAAGACACTTATCTCAGCAAATATTATTAGATTATTTGCCAAGAGGTCTAATTACCATGTTAACAAAGTTGGACAGGGTGACGTGACCTATTTGCTTTTTCTTAGTAGCATGTTCTTGATAAAGGAAGTGAATGAATCTGAGACAAGCAGATTCAACTCACTTTTCCTTAACTTTTTTTTTTTTTTTTGAGACGGAGTCTGGCTCTGTCGCCCAGGCTGGAGTGCAGTGGCGCGATCTCGGCTCACTGCAAGCTCCGCCTCCTGGGTTCACGCCATTCTCCTGCCTCAGCCTCCCGAGTAGCTGGGACTACAGGCACCCGCCACTACGTCTGCTATTTTTTGTATTTTTAGTAGAGACGCGGTTTCACCATGTTAGCCAGGATGGTCTCGATCTCCTGACCTCGTGATCCGCCCACCTTGGCCTCCCAAAGTGCTGAGATTACAAGCGTGAGCCACCATGCCTGGCCTTCCTTAACTTTAATCAAGATGGGCTAGTCCTTTACTTATGACAGAAATAAAAGATTAAATGCCTTAAATGGAGACATAAACATAGGCTGTCTTTCTGTGAATACATTTTTATTCTGTTTCCCAGAATCTTTTTAGTTAGCGCATTTTTATTTTTGAAACAAAAGCAAAATAGTTCAAATTATAAAATTAACCTCTATTCATTGAAAAAGATTCGGCTATACAAAACACTCAGAGAGGAGATAAAAAATATCACATATAAGTTGGTATTCCTGTGATAAAGTGTTACAATTTTCACATATATATTTTTAAAAATAAATGGTATCACTTTATAGATGCTGTTATGTAATCTTCTTTTTAAAATTAATTATAGTATTCATCTATTTTTATTTTTTTATTTTTTTGAGATGGAGTTTCACTCTTGTTTCCCAGGCCGGAATGCAATGGCGCGATCTCGGCTCACTGCAACCTCTATTTCTCGGGTTCAAGCGCACACCTCAGCCTCCCGAGTAGCTGGGATTGCAGGTACCTGCCATCACACCTGGCTAATTTTTGTATTTTTAGTAGAGAGGAGGTCTTACCATGTTGACAAGGATGGTCTTGAACTCCTAATCTCAGGTGATCCGCCTGCCTCAAACTCCCAAAGTGCTGGGATTACAGGCGTGAGCCACCGTGTTCGGCCAGTATTCATCTATTTTATAATATGTATGTAGATATGTCAAAATCAAAGTTATTCTCATGATTTAAAAAAATTTTATCAAAGATATTTCAAAATTCAGGCTGGTAAATAGAGTAGAATTCTAAGTACAGATACTATAATTATTTTTAGGTTATCAAAATTGGTAATCAACAAACTTATGGGGTTTAAAAATATTTTTAGAATAAAATATTTTATTTATGTAAAGAATTTGTAGAAAATTAAGCTGTGTTTTCCAGTATACTAGCACTTTGCCACATGTGTCTACTTAAACAAATTAAAATGAAATAAAATTAATATTTCAGTTCTCTGATTGCAGTAGCCACATTTCAAGTGCCTGATAGTCACATGTTGCTAGTGGCTACAAAGCAATATAATACTACAATACACAAATATAAAATATTTCCATCATCACAGAAAGTTCTGTTGGTGAGTGTTGGTGTAAAGTTCTAAATATGTCACAATCTAAGTTTAACCAATTTGTTGAGCACTAAATATGTGTTAGATTTTGTGTTAGGCACTTTTCACTGTTCCCGTGTGTTGTTTTACTTAATACTCAAAAAGGCTGTGGGAATGACATTGTTATATCTACATTGCAGGTTTAAAAAAAAGAAAAGTGGTGGCTCATGGAAGTGAAATGATTTGATTAAAAGCACAAGCAAGGCTGGGCCTGGTGGCTCATGCCTGTAATCCCGGCACTTTGGGAGGCTGAGGCGGGTGGACCACGAGGTCAGGAGTTTGAGACCAGCCTGATTAACATGGTGAAACCCCTATCTCTACTAAAAATACAAAAATTAGTTGGGTGTGGTGGCATGTGCCTGTAATCCCAGCTACTCAGGAGGGTGAGGCAGGAGAATTGCTTAAACCTGGGAGGCAGAGGTTGCAGTGAGCTGAGATCTCGCCATTGCACTCCAGCCTGGGCGACAGAGTGAGACTCCATCTTAAAAAAAAAAAGAAAGTGTAAGCAATTAGCTATATCCTGTCCAAGCTCCTAGTAGCTTTACCTCTGGCTACTTGAGGCACTTGTTCTCATAGTGCATAGGCTGCTGATTTCTGCTGTGAGAGCCTAAGGAAACCCAACCCCTTGCATTCCACACTGGGAATCGGATGTGGAAAGAAACAGCTCTGTCTACTAGGTTCTTCATGGCTGTATCTTCTTACTTGATTTGGCCTCTTGGAATGTGGCCCTCAGCTGCCCACCTGAAGCATTAATATAAAGTCTCGGCTTTTCAACATTGCTCACAAAGCCCATCACACCCTTGCCTGAACCTAACTCTCCTGCATCATTTTTTCCCATTCTCTACTTCCCAATGTGTATGTCAGTCATGTCAGGTTATAATTCCCAAAAGAGACATTATGTTGCTCCCTACCTTCACATATGTTGCTCACTTGACCTGAAAACCTTTTTTACTCTTTTCAGTCTATTAAACTTCTGATGATTTTTCATAGCTCAGGTCCTGCTTCCCCCAGGATGCTTTAATTTAACCATAGAGAGAATGATTAGACGTCCCCCAGCATGTCCTTATAGTGCCCTGTTCTCATGTGCTCCGTGAAGCATGCTTACCATGGAGTCATCATTGATTAGCTCATGTTTCTCCATGTTTTTTCCTGAGAGCTGGACCCATATCTTAATCTTGAATAATACCAAATACAGATATAAATGTTCTCATCAGTAGAGCACCTTTATTTTCCAGATAGGAGGTATCGTATTACCTGAAGATTAGAAAGTAGAAGGAGAGAGAATCCTTTCTCAGGAAAAATAGGCCTCAAAAGATCAGAGAATGTCCACCTTTTTTCCACATTCCATTTGTTCCTTTTCCCCCAAAACAGATGAGGACAGGCACCCATCTTTGATGGTCCTGACACTAAAATGATCTCTAGGAATACCTTGGCTTCCTGCTTCAGAACATGGAGAAAAAAGGGACAAGCCCCACGTAGAAGTGCCTGTAGCAACTTGAGAAGGTGGGAACAGAAGGCTTCTCTGATAACCTTGCTCTCCTCCAAGTCCACAAATGGACCCCGTTCCATGTGCTTGAGAGGAAGGCCTCTGTTTCTCTTGCATCCCAGCTCCCAGCCAGGCTGCCTGAATCTTTCAAGACGTTCTCCTATCCCTTCATTAACTCTCTTCTGTGCCAAAGGGAGCTGCTTGCAGTGATGCCTGCCATAATATGTCACCAGCTGACATGCAATCGCTTCGTGGAGGATACTGCTTGGTCACAGGACTCACATAAGACTGACACACTGCCTCTTCTTGATGGGAAAGAACAATTCTTCTACATTCTTAGGTAGAAAAAAATTGGTGTAAAATGCTAAACTCCTGTAGCAATGTGATGTGAATAGGGACATTATAAATACAGGAATTGTTGTAACTGTCATTCACCTTTCTAGCCTTGGGATGCATGGCACATGGTTATGATAATAACTTGCCCTCGTCTCAAGCATATTGATTCATTTATCCATTTACTTACTCATTTATGTATTCAGAAAATGTTGGGGGCAAAATCCAGGCACTTTCAGGAAGTGCTAAGGCACTGAGAGGTCAACAAAACATAGTCTCTGCCATTAATAACATCTAATTCAAGCAGGAGACACAGGCACATAACCATGATTATAATGCAGTGAGACAAGGGCCTGGAAGAGAGTCAGGCACAAAGCACTGTCAGGTGAACAGAATGGAAAGTGCCATTCATGATGCCTGAGGGAATTGGGGAAGGTTTCATGGGGAAATGAAATAGGAGCTGATATTTGCAGGACAATGTCATTTTCCTGGTCTGGGTAGGGAAGCAGTCAGGCTGGCAGGGGCAATAGCAGGTGCACAGAAGGTAAGTGTAAAGGATCATGGGTTGCAGTGCTCTGGGTCTGGAGGTGAGATAAACAGGTAAGGGTCATAAGAGGTGGCACTGGACAGCACAGCAGGGAACACATTGTATGAGGCCTTAAAAGCCCTAATAAGGAGTTTGAACTTTCTCATGTTGACATGGAAGGGTCATCAGTTATTTAGGTAGGATTGAGCATAATCAGCGATTTTAAGATGAATGCTCCCCAACTTAATGGAGTCAGAAGCAATAATATACTTTTGCACTTCTGTCTCTTCTCCTTGCTTATTTGTATCTTTCCCTGTTTTAAATTAGGGTTAAAATCTCTGAAACACACACACAAAAGGCCTGGTGGTTTATGCTTGCAGGCAGTGTGAAAAGAGGGGAGCTTGGCAGACTGACTCTTACTCTATTGGGTGCAGCAGGCCCTAGAAGTGTACTAGACAAAAAAAGGAAATCTGAGAATCTTGGGGTTTGTAGAGTGAGGAAAACAAGGGGCTCAAGGGTACCAGTATGGGACAGAGAAGGGTCAAGGGGCCTTGAAGCCTCACTGCCTGATCCCCTGTTGTAGTGAAGGCGGATCTGATGCCAAAAGATGCGCAGGGGAAGGGTCTAGAGGACACTCACACATATAAGGTAAAAGCCATGGATAAGATTAGAGAGACATGGGAACACTGCAAATGGCAGACTCATCAGTGCAGATAAAGGCCAATGCTTTGCTGATTGTGTATTTGCTTGGGCAAGTTATCTCCATTAAAATTTGTGTGTGTAGATAGAGGCCCATGAGAAGATATCAATAATAAAATGGCCACGTGGGTCTTTTTTTTTTAATGCCCTAAAGGAGATGATTAACCCTAAAACACTGTGATATTGTCTGAGATTATGCCAGGTAACATGTGTGTTGGGTTTAGTCAGACCTAAGTTTGAATCCCAGTTCTACTGTTCACTATTTCTGTAATCCCTGGCAAATTGCTTACAGTCACCAACTCTCTGTCTCCTCCTTTATAAAACAGGCATGAAAATACTTACCTCTCAGCATAATTGAGAGGACTAACTGAAATAATGTGTGTAAAATGCTCAGCCTATTGCCAGGCATTCAAAGAATGGTAATTATTATCTTACATAGTTTGTATATTTTGAATGTAGCACAGTGTCGGGCATTCAAGAAACTTAGAAATACTCTTTGGTGTGACTTCTCCTGGCTTTCAAGTACACTCTGAGTTTAGATTAATCTTTTACAAGTATAAGACACATTAAGAGTTATCACCGGTTGGTATTGAAGGAGATAGTCATTTGTCAGTAATATTGACCCAAGGAAAACCAGTCAGGTGTAAAAGGCATCATTTTGAAATGATGTGATAAATGAAGCCCCATCATTTGTATGAGGAGATAGAAATAGGGTCAGATCTTACGGGCCTGCTCTGTCATAGTTAAATAGTCGTTGCAATCCCAATAAGCAGGATTCCTTAGTCTTCATATGAGCTAGGCATCGGAGGTACCGGTCCATGGAAAGAATGGAGATAAAATTTGTGTACCAAAAGCATCAAAACCTGAGACAGAATGATCATTTGAGAAAAAAAAATAATTTCAAAGTGCAGTAAATAGGCATCAATGTTCCCACAAAAATTAGTACATTTAAAAATATATATTTGAGTATGTATATCATTCATTTATTAGAATTATTCAGTGACAAGCCTTAAGTGCCCATGTCTGAAGGCCAGCAAATTTTATTAAAATTTAACCAAGAGCAGAGGAAATTTTGACATGCTGCTGTTATTCCTTCAGCATTCAGGTTTATGTTTAATTCAGTGTTTCATAATTTGCTATGAAATAAACTTCCTGCTATGAAAAATTTACAAAATGTGGAGCAATGGGAGTATATGTCAGGTACAGTATGATATTATTCTCTGCTTAAAGAATAGTTTATGTGCCATGAACTTACTCTGGTGTATTTAAAAGGAAGATAGAAGTTAATATTAGATGCTAAAGAAACAGAAAGGTTTATATTTAATATCCTGATCACGTATACAAATTAGAGGTTCATCATCTGCCCTGCATTGTTCTAGACACTTCTGGGACGGCACAACCTCCAACCTGGTTTCCCTGCTTCTGGCCTCTCTGGCCTCTAATTTCTCCCCATTAATGTGAGAATTCCCTTTATAAAATGAATACATATTCCAACCTTAGCTTTATTTTTAGCAATACATAATTTTACCTATTTATGGGGTACATGTGATATTTTGCTGTATGCATACAACCATCAACTCAGGGTATTTGGGATATTCATCACCTCAAATATTTATCATTTATTTGTGTTAGGAACATTTCAAACCTTCTCTTCTGGTTATTTTGAAATACACAAAAAATTTTTGCTAACTATACTCACCCTACTATGCTGTTGGACACTAGAATTTATTCCTTCTAACTGTATGTTTTTATGCATTAACCAGCCTCTCTTCATCCACCCTCCTCTACCCTTCCAGCCTTTTGGAAGCATCATTCTACTGTCTCCCTCCATGAGATCAACTTTTTTCACTCGCATGTATGAGTGATAACATGCAATATTTAACTTTCTGTTCCTGCATCATTTCACTTAACATAATGGCCTTCAGTTTCATCCATGATGCTGCAAATAACAGAATTTCATTATTTTTATGTCTGAATATTCCATTGTGCATATATACCACATTTTCTTTATATATTCATTTGTTGATGGATACTTAGGTTGATTTTATATTTTGGCTATTGTGAACAGTGTCATAATAAACATGGGGTGCAGGCATCCCTTCGATATACTGATTTCCTTTCCTTTGAATAAATACTCAGTAGTAGGATTGCCAGATCATACAGTAGTTCTAGTTTTAGTTTTTTGAGAAACCCCACACTGTTTTCCATAATGGCTGTACTAATTTACATTCTCATGAACAGTGTATAAGGGTTCCCTTCTCTGCATTCTCACCAGCATTTATTATTTTTTGTCTTTGTGACCTTCTCTGCATTCTCACCAGCATTTATTATTTTTTGTCTTTCTGATTATAGCCATTCTAACTGGGGCAAGATAATACCTCACTGTGTTTTTTATTTGCATTTCCAAGATGATTAGTGATGTTGAGCATTTTTTATTTTATTTTTTTTGTTGTTTGTTTTAATTTCTTTTTTTATTTTATTTTATTATTATTATACTTTAAGTTTTAGGGTACATGTGCACAATGTGCAGGTTAGTTACATATGCATACATGTGCCATGCTGGTGTGCTGCACCCGTTAACTCATCATTTAGCATTAGGTGTATCTCCTAATGCTATGAGCATTTTTAAAATATACCTGTTGGCTACTCCCATCTTCTTTTGAGAAATGTCTATTTGGGTCCTTTGCCTACTTTTTAACGAGAGATATATATAAATATATATATTTGCTGTTAAGTTGTTTGAGTTCTTGGCCCTATTTCTCACCATATACAAAAATCAACTCAAGATAGATTGAAGACTTAAACATAATACCCCAAACTGTAAAACTACTAGAAAAAAAAAATAGAGTGAAACGACTTCAGGATATTGGTCTAGGCAAAGATTTTATGGCTAAGACTACAAAAGCACAGGCCATAAAAGCAAAGGAAATGATCAACAGAGTGAAGAGACAACATGTTGAATGGGAGAAAATATTTGCAAGCTACTCATCTGAAAAAAATTAGTATTGCGAATATATAAGAGAATCAAACAACCCTAGTTTCCGAAGGTTTCTCTCTGTCTTCTCTCTCTCCTCTCACCATCTTGTAGCATCAGGAAACTTTGATCTCCAGTGGCCTTCGTAGTTTCTAGCAAGAGTAGTAATGGGTCACGGGCAATGTCTGCTAGGATTTACAAGCCCCAGAGAAGTCAATAGTTTTAGGAGAAGCAGTTGCAATCATTGTAGTGGTCTCCACCACCACCATCAGTAGTGAGTACTCACCTGGGTTTGTTAGTATCATTTCCTCTTTTTTTGTCCCTACAATCCTAGGACCTTCCTGTAGTTTCCAGTCTCTGTGTTACTCCACCTTTCCTTTATCTTCCTCAACACTTCAAACACTTTGACACAAATATCCTCTATCAAAGTACCTCTGTTTGAAATAAATAATGTGATTTCTATTTTCCTGATTGGTCCCTGATTGACTCAAAGTCCTATCAGCGTGTGAGTACAGGTGGGGTCAGAGTAACAATAATGGCTCAAAATGTCTGCTTTTTACCATTATCTGCTATACAGATCTTAGGCACCTGTGACATTGCTCTCACTAAGCGTAATAGGGAGTCCGTAAGAAGATCTGTGTGTCAGTTCAGCCACATAGAGTCGCTGCAATGCCCAGGTTCTTGGGCATCTGTCATCTCCTATCATGTATTATACTCACAATCACTGCTGTGCTGCAGTTTTTCTAGGCACTGCCTCTGGTGCCAAAGCATTGTACATGCTCCCTTCTATACTTCATCATCCCTTTTCACCTGGCACCCAAACAACATTACTTGTGTCACTGGAAATCAGACCCTCATAAAAATACTCCTTTAACTCAGGTCTAAAAGCCCCATATTAGGTAGAATATGAGCTAGAATGATATAACAAAAAGATTCCAACACATTGTGGCTTCAGCATGATAAAAGTTTATTTCTGTCGATGTGTTTTCTAGAAGTGAGAAGCCTGGGGCTGATGTTAGTTGTTCTGTCTCACCCAGTTTAATGAATTAGCTCCTGCCATCCTCCAAATATGGCTTTTATCTTTGTATCCAAAATTGCTACCTTGTTACCATTTCCCAGACAGAGGAAAAAAGGAATCTTTGCTTAAGGAGATGACTGGAAGCTATTATAGACTTCACTTCCGTACACATCCCTCTACCTGTAACTTATTCACATAACCACACCTATCTGGGACAGAGACTGGGAAATTTGTCTCGACTGGATAATCAGATGCCAAGTTAAAACTCTGGGGTTCAGAGTACCATGTGCAGATGTGTTTTGGCATCTAAGCAACAGCACCCTGCGGAGAGTCTAGGGGAGGTGACACCAAACCCATGCTCTGCTTACCAAGCTATGAGGCTCAGCCCATCATCTTTACACAAAACTTCATCGGCTTGTCAAGCCATGTGTCCACAGGGTTATCTCTGCCCCAAGGGGCACCTTTGTTTCACTTGCACAATGGGACTATTTAGACTAGTGGCAGTTCTGAAGACTCTTAATAAAATATATTAGCAGCCTATGTCACAGATTGTCTCTACATAGGGTTCATGTCTAGTCCATGGGGCTAAGGAAAGTTGGGGAGAATTTAGAAACAGACACTATTCTATGGCCTCCAGTTTTCTCTCTCTTCTATATGAGCGCAATACAAAAATCTTGTTCTAACCAAAAATAGACTGATAAAAATTACCTCTTGTAAATTAACTACCTCTCTAATCTTCCCTGCTAATTCATTCACCTCTTTTATTACCAATGGTCTGAATTAGCTATTATTATTCCTAAGTTACATGTAAGGAAACTGAGGCTCAGAGATATTGGGGAACTTGCTTAAGGTCACACAGCTTGTAAGTGATTAGATATGATTTGAATCCAGGTCTGTGTGACTCCAAAGCCATTGCTGTTTTTGTTATACGACACTGCCTATTAAGTTACAAGCACTAGTACCTCATGATAAAAAATGGGCTACTTGTAATATGAACATTTTTAATAGAGAAGTTCCAAGAAACAGGACATCACCAGGGCCATGATGTCATTGTGGTTTACACTTCCCATGAACTCTTTCCAATAAACATTTCATTTAAATTTAGTAAAGCAGTTAATAAAGCCATAAAGGTTAATTACTAGTTAAGGGAAAAATATGACTTCACTTTGGTGAACATGTGAAAAATGAATCAACTTCTTTCTCAGTTAACCCAGGATTATACAGGCAATAAAGCATGATTATGGATTTAACATGTTAATTCCCAGTAGATTTAATAGCAGTGCTGTGAAATACATGACCAATCGCTAACCCATCTGACAAGCCTTCAGACAGCACTAATCAAGATTAAATCACTTGGCCCATATGTGGATGCAATATATCTTTCGAGACAAAATGACCATAATTTTTCATCATAGAGGTAGTATACATCCCTGGTGATAGGATGAGAAGCAGAGAAGAAAAAAGTGAGGAACGCAATTTGTGATCTCAATCTGACACCTCACTTTAGAAGCTATTTTCGAAGAAAATAACCTTAACCTTATTTTCATAATTTTAAGATCTCCAGGGTTTATTGCTCGTGGAATGATTCATGCTTTACCTGTAACTTGGGGCATAAAGCAAAGCATCCACATCCTTAAAATATTTTGCCTTTCCAAAAATAGATCACTGGCAGAGTCAGCCCTTTGTAGCTTTGCTCTTACATATTTCAGCAACTCTTCAGGTTTCATCACTGTGATTTCAACTTTTAAGATACAGAATCCTAAATAACACCATAGTTCCTTTCTCATGAATCATACTGCCTGGTAACCATAAACGAAAAGCATTGTGTTCTTTTTATTACCTGAAGATTACGAACAAGGGTCTGAGAACTATGGGCTTTGGGCCAAATCTGGCCCACTAGCTGTTGTGTAAATAAAGTTTTATTAGTATTCAGCCAAACCCTTTCACTTATGTATCATCTCTGGCCATTTTCATGCTACAACAGCAGAGGTGGAAAGTTGTGACAGAGAGTATATTTTCCCAAAGCTTAAAATATTTATTATCTAGCCCCTTACATAAACTTTTTGCTGATTCCTGGTTAAGAGTTTCATTTTTTGTTAATTCAAATTCAACTGAAACATGGATATTTTCAGGGTCTTCCACTTCTCCCATTTATGTAGCCCATTTTGTTTCCCAACTGTCTAAAGTCTCACATCAAAACTTCTTCTCACTTCACATTTTAGTGATTAGAATTAAATATGGGGGCTTGTGCTCTAATACACAATAGATCCTCAAAAACATGAATTCATTGCCTCTCCACCAACATTTTGTTGTTCTTGCTGTTTTACAAGGAACCAGTACAGTGTGATGGTAAAGAACAGGGAACTGGCTCTATACTTGGGGTCAGAGTCCAGGAGATTAAACCAGCTAATATATTTAAGGGTTGATGTCACTGTTCCTGGCACATTGTCTATGTTCATTAATTGCTGTTTTCTTCCTCTTCCTTTCTTCCTCCATTATTACCCATGTTACCTAGGGTACATTTCTTACGTTCTCTGTGCCTTGATATTTTTATCTATAAAATAGGAATTATGATAATAATAATATACCCACCTCATAGAGTTTTGGTAGGATTAAAAAATGTAACACAAGCAATATGTTCAGAATAGTGATGGGCACACAGTAAGCACTACACCAGTGTTGCTCACCGTTATCACAATGATCTTCCTCCTCATCTTCATCACCTTCATTTCATTAAAGAGGTTAGTCATGTTGGAAAGGGTTAACCTATTACCCATTGGCTAACTAAAAAAAAAAAAAAAAAAAAGGATTTACTTAGATAAGTATGAGGTATAGGATTGTAAAATCTAACCAGTCCTGTGTTTAAGTCAAGCTCTGTCACCTTTCATTTTTGGGGGTTGAGAGTCAAGATCTTGCTCTGTCACCCAGGCTGGAGTGCAGTGGCATGCTCATGGCTCACTGCAGGCTTGACTTCCCAAGTTCAATCCTCCTCCCACCTCAGCCTCGATAGTAGCTGGGACTTACAGGCGTGTGCAGCCACACCCAGCTTATTTTTGAAGTTTTTGTAGAGATGGGGTTTCTCCATGTTGCCCAGGCTAGTCTTGAACTCTTGGGCTCAAGTGATCCACCTACATTGGCCTCCCAAAGTCCTAGAATTACAGGTGTGAGCCACTGTGCCCAGCCCATTGTTTTTTGTTCTCTAATATTTCATTTAGCTTCTGTGCACCTGAGTTTTCACATTTGTGATATGAAGTAAACAATACAGATCTCATCAGTGAGTTGAAGAGTAAACCATCGAATATATTTAAAGGCTGATGTCACTGTTACTGGCACATTGTATAGGCTCATAGTTGCTGGTTTCTTCCTCTTCCCTGCATCTGTGTTCTTGAAGGTAGCCTAACTCTCCTGAATGTCTTGTATTTCCTGATTGTTCATGCTCTGAGCTCCAATCATGCTCATTACTTCACAGTTTCACATTTGCCCTCCTCTTTTCTCTGCCTCTTTGTGATGGTAAATTTTAGTGTCACCTTGAATGGTCTAAGGGGTACCCAGGTGGCTCATTTCTGGCTATGTCTGGCAGGGGCAGTGTTTCCAAAAGAAGAGACTAACATTTGACTTGATAGACTGAGTAAAGAAGATCTACCTCACCAATGTGAGCAGGCATCATCCAATCTGTTGAGGCTGGAACACAACAAAAAGGCAGAGAAAGGGAAAATTCTCTTCCCTTCTTGGCCTGGGACGTCCATCATCCCTTGCCCTTGGCCATGGGATGTCCTGGTTCTTTGGCCTTTGGACTCAGACTTGCACCAGCACCCACTCCCCGATTCTCAGGCTTTTGGTTTGGGACAGGGAGTTATACCATCATCTCCTCTGGTTGTCAGGCCTTTGAAGTTTCACTGAATTACACCACTGACTTTCCTGGGTTTCCCACTTGTAAATGGCATAATGTGGGACTTGTCAGCCTTCAAAATTATATGAGCTAATTCCCATAATAAATTCCTCTTATATATCCATGTATATCCTACTGGTTTTTCTTATCTGGAGAATTCTGATTAATACACTCAATTAATACACTTAATTTGTGGTGGGTTAATTCTTGTGTTCAGACCAACCTGTGTTTTCTCATATGGTAAACCTTTAATAATGACAATAGTAATAATAGCTTGCTTATACTCTTTCTTGTTCTGTCTCCTCTCCCCTACATATAAATGTATGTATGTATGTGTGTGTGTGTATATATATACACACATACATATATATATACACATATATATATATACACACACATACATACATACATATATATATATATATATATATACCACTATGTGCCAGGCAGTGTTTTAAGAATTTTTAAAGAATTTTACACTTTATTGAACCCTCATAACCACCCTTTGGGTCAGACACTATTGTTATCTCCATTCTATAGATGAGGAAATTGAGCAATGGAGGTTCTAAAACTTGACCAAGGTCATATAGTTAATAAGCACAAAGTAAGGATTTAACTCCAGGCAGTCTATCCCTGGAGTCTGTGCTTTTAGCCACTATGCCATTCTGCTTCTCTAAATGCTTTACAAAATCTTAATGGACTTCATAAACATACTCTACCAATGCATTTCTGCCTTGGTATATGCATTCATGTGTGTTTCATGTATGGAATAGTCCATCTGTTTTTAACACATATAATGTAAAAGTTATATGGTATATGTATATTTTTTCTAAAAGGAAACTCATTCAAGTAGTAATAAATAAGGAATAACTATTTAAATTTATTAATTAGATTCTATTTACACTACTGTCAACCTCAAATTTTTGTTTGACCTGAAATCTTATTTATTATAGTCACCATTGTCGGCTACTACATGATAACAAACTTGTATTTAAAAATTTTGGTAGAATAATAGTTTATGGCTGGCATTCAGTCCTAAAACTGTTACTTTAAGGAAGTGCTTCTCAAAATATTCTGCATATAAATCTCCAGGGGATAATATTAAAATTCAATTTCTGGTTTGCGTTGGGGCCCATGATTCTGAATTTTTATCAAGTAGCAAGAATCTTTTGATATAGTACACAAAGACTTTCATGTTAACCTGTAAGTGATTATCTATCTAAGGGCATCCTTTAGAATCTCCTTGGGCTTTACTTTGTCTGGGCACAGTTGATTGACTTTTAGGTTCTAACACAGAAGAGTGATTGAAATGAATCATGTTGGATTTCATGGCAAGGGTCCTTCTTGCGTCACTATTTCCTCATGATGCCTCCTACAACCACTGATCCTATTCAATTCATATGCAAATTTTGTTCTGTATCTTTCATCATCCATTTTTCCAGTCAGCATTAACTAAGCACTTACTATGTGCTAGGCTGGTCCTTTTCTTGAAGAAGTTCTCATTCTTAAGGGAGGGATATGGGGAGAGTGAACTCAGACATGTAAGATAAAAATGGCAAAATAAGTATTTTTGGTTTTACAGTAGAAGTTCGAGGGCACAGGCTGGGCATGGTGGCTCATGTCTGAAATCCTAACACTTTGGGAAGCCAAGGCAGGCAAATTGTTTGAGGCCAGGAGTTCAAGACCAGTCTGGCAACATGGCAAAGTCCCATCTTTACAAAAAGCACAAAAATTAGCCAGGTGTGGTGGCACATTCCTGTAGTTCCAGCTACTTTGGAGGCTGAGACAGGAGAATCACTTGAGTCCAGGAGGTCGAGGCTGCAGAGAGCCGTACTCACATCACTGCACTCCAGCCTGGATGACAGAATGAGACCCTGTCTCAATTAAAAAAGAAAGAAAGAAAATGAAGTTTGAGGGTACAAAGAAAGTGATACAAAGAAACTTCTAAGAGCTTGACAGTTGGGAAAATATAAAGTAAAACTTCAAAAAGATTGTGTCCCTTAAATGGATTCTAGAAAGTTTCTCTAAACAACAGAAGAACAAAGTCTTTGCAAGCTAAGAAGTTAGCATGAAAATGGGCAATGGCCTGACCTGATTCAGAAACTGACTTGCTACTGGTATTGTTGAATTTTAAATTAAAAAGAAAAAAAGCAAAGAATCTGCTACAGTAGAGACTGGGAAAGTATTGAAGGGTTAATCAGGGTAGTGGTTGATCACTGCCTTGCATTTATGCACCTATTCTTCTGAATTATAAGTATATATAAACAATAAGTATATATGCATAATCCTCATATCTCAAAATATGATTTTATGTAATATTTAATGTACAAAATAATATGTATAACATATTTGTTTGTTATGAAGCCTCTTATAAAAATATACCTGTCAACCCACTATGCAGCTTTATACTTTGAACATTACTGAAACTGTTGAAGCTGTGTTCAGATACTTTCTAGTTTACTTTAATAAACCATATGCCAATGAGACAAAACTGCACGTGACAGCATTTCTATATAACGTTCTAAAATTTTACATTGGAGCACTTAATAATGTGACAAAATTTCTTATCAGTCCTTAGTTGTAAAATACTTCCAGTAGCTCAATAGTCACTTTGATGTGACTAACAATTAAATCAAAAATCGAACATTTATAGCATATTGAAAATGGAAAGAAATCTAGAGATCCTCTAGCAGAGTGTTTCTAAGTCCAAATTGTATTACAGGCCAGTAAATCACTTAAAATCCACTATAGACCTCAATAATGTGACAAAAAAGTCCAGATGAGTATGAAAGATGAGCCCAGTGAAAGCCACTGGCATGGAGAATGGTGAGGAAGGCTCAGATGCAAGGCAGTAGCATTGTTTTACAGAACATCAGATCAGTGGTTCAAAAAGGGACTGAACAAATTACATTTAACTGAGGTGAGAACTGAATTGCAGAGAAGTTAGCTTATCCAATATCATACAGTTCAACAATACCAAACCAATTAGAGAAAATTTGTTTATTGAACAACAACATGGAGGACACTGGAGTAAGTGTTGTGATGGAGATGCATTTTGTCTAAGACAAGGAAGTTATAATCTATTTTATTGATAAGAGATGATGTGTGCAGATAATGGTGTGTTCCTGTGCATGAAATATATGTATGTATGTCTGTGTTTGTGTGTTTGTCTACCAGGACAAATGGATGGAGGAATGGATTGAAGCTAAAGGATTCTCTGTGCAACAGGGAACCAATGAAGAATTTTAGGCAGGCAAATTACATAAATAAATGTGTAATACTACAATGACAGAACCGGGCGTGGTGGCTCACACCTGTAATCCCAGCACTTTGGGAGGCCGAGGCGGGTGGATCACAAGGTCAGGAGATCGAGACCATCCTGGCTAACACAGTGAAACCTCGTCTCTACTAAACATGCAAAAATTAGCCAGGCGTGGTGGCGGGCGCCTGTAGTCCCAGCTACTCAGGAGGCTGAGGCAGGAGAATGGCGTGAACCCGGGAGGCGGAGCTTGCAGTGAGCCGGGATTGCGCCACTGCATTCCAGCCTGGGTGACAGAGCGAGAATCCATCTCAAAAAAAAAAAAAAAAAAATTAGAATGACAGTAGCAGTGTGGATTATTACCTGGAGAAAGAGAGCCCAGAGTCAGGAAAAGAAGTTAGGAGGATACTGTAAGTGTTCCACTGTGCACAGGTGGAAAGCCTTCTCTAAGATGTATCTGTGGGGATTGAT